>NC_000002.12:148095678-148398708 GCF_000001405.40 Homo sapiens | reverse complement strand
AAAACACCAAAAGCAATGGCAACAAAAGCCAAAATTGACAAATGGGATCTAATTAAACTAAAGAGCTTGTGCACAGCAAAAGAAACTACCATCAGAGTGAACAGGCAACCTACAGAATGGGAGAAACTTTTTGCAATCTACTCATCTGACAAAGGGCTAATACCCAGAATCTACCATGAACTCAAACAAATTTACAAGAAAAAAACAAACAACCCCATCAAAAAGTGGGCTAAGGATATGAACAGACACTTCTCAAAAGAAGACATTTATGCAGCCAAAAGACACATGAAAAAATGCTCATCATCACTGGCCATCAGAGAAATGCAAATCAAAACCACAATGAGATACCATCTCACCAGTTAGAATGGCGATCATTAAAAAGTCAGGAAACAACAGGTGCTGGAGAAGATGTGGAAAAATAGGAACACTTTTACACTGTTGGTGGGGCTGTAAACTAGTTCAACCATTGTGGAAGTCAGTGTGGCGATTCCTCAGGGATCTAGAACTAGAAATACCATTTGACCCAGCCATCCCATTACTGGGTATATACCCAAAGGAGTATAAAACATGCTGCTATAAAGACACATGCACACGTATGTTTATTGCAGCACTATTCACAATAGCAAAGACTTGGAACCAATCCAAATGTCCAACAATGATAGACTGGATTAAGAAAATGTGGCACATATACACCATGGAATACTATGTATCCATAAAAAATGATGAGTTCATGTCCTTTGTAGGGATATGGATGAAGCTGGAAACCATCATTCTCTGCAAACTATCGCAAAAGACAAAAAACCAAACACTGCATGTTCTCACTCATAGGTGGGAACTGAACAATGAGAACACATGGACACAGGAAGGGGAACATCACACACTGGGGCCTGTTGTGGGGTAGGGGGAGAGGGGAGGGATAGGATTAGGAGATATACCTAATGCTAAATGAGGAGTTAACGGGTGCAGCACACCAACATGGCACATGTATATATATGTAACAAACCTGCACGTTGTGCACATGTACCCTGAAAGTTAAAGTATAATAAAAAATAAAATAAAATAAATAAAATATAAGGATCAGGCTGGGCGCGGTGGCTCACGCCTGTAATCTCAGCACTTTGGGAGGCCGAGGCGGGTGGATCACGAGGTCAGTAGATCGAGACCATACTGGCTAACATGGTGAAACCCTGTCTCTAGTAAAAAATAAAAAAATTAGCCGGGCGTGGTGGCGGGCATCTGTAGTCCCAGCTACTCGGGAGGCTGAGGCAGGAGAATGGTGTGAACCTGGGAGGCGGAGCTTGCAGTGAGCCGAGATCGTGCCACTGCTCTCTAGCCTGGGCGAGACAGCGAGACTCCGTCTCAAAAAAAAAAAAAAAAAAAAAAGGATCAGAAGACAGAAACATTTGGGCCACAAGATGCACATTCATGTATTAGCTAGAGAATAATAAAGCCAAATATAATCACGTTGACCATATGATCAGTTTGCTGGTGGTTGACAATTTTTACTACACAGTTTACCTTAATCAGTCCTTTTCTATCTCACACTTAAAAAAAATTCATAGAGATGTATTAAGGGCCTCTAGGATTTTAAGAGTGAAAAGAGAGAAAAGGTATATACTTGAGTAATATTTGGGATCTGAAATCAGCAAGTCTTAGTAATTATATGGCTGTGTGGGGCCTCAGGACAATGTAAGGAGTTTAGGAAAGGCATGGTAAATAAGTTATAACTCATATGTTATATGAGTCAGGGTCCTGGTAGAAAAAAAGACAGTACGCTCAAAAGTGTAATTTGCAGAAAAATTTATCTATAAGGACATGGGCAAGGTTTAAGGGAACTGACACAGGCAATATTGGAGACCCATTATCATATCTAAGTCAGAAAAGGGCACTTCCTGGGTGTTGACAGGAGTTGTGCCCTTCAGTAAATGGATGTAGCTAACCTGTGGCAACCCTGTAAGAATACCCCAGTCTCACTCACTTCCCACCTTCTGATCTTTTCCAAATGCCTTTCATTGGGCCAAACCCAACTGGAAGCCAGAAGGCAAGAAAGCTCTTTGACATAGTCATAAAGGTGACTGCACAAAGAGCAAGGTGGAGAATAAGTCTAGGTTGGAAATGTGAATTTTGGAATCAGCAGCTTATCTGTGATACTCGGATCTACAAAAGTGGAGAGTACACAGAATAAAAAAAGTAGTAGGTAAGCATGGAATCTACAAAAGGAAAAAAAGAAAGAATATCCAGAGGTTATGAGCAGCACTGTGAAAGTGTAGATTCATGGAAATCAAGGGAGTGGAACATTTGTGGAAGAAAGCTGCCATGAATGTTAGATATTGAAAACAGGGCAGTGGAATTTTGCTTGTAGCCGCCGCTGTGCATGGTCACCATGCTGCCATTGCTCTCTAACACCAGCTCTGGCTCTAGCTCACTAAGCTCTAGCTGAAGGAGGAGGGGCAAGTAAGGAGGTCTCCATACCATGGCTCCAACACAGTTGACTGCCTCTGTATCCACTGGATATGACAACTGGAAGATCACTGGTTCCCTTAGCGAGAGCAGTTCCAGGAATGTAATAGAAGAGGAAGCTCAGTTTTAATGGGATAAAAAGTTAATGAGAGATGAGAATGTGAACACAGCAAATATTATACTTTTGAGAACAATGGATGAGGGGAAAAGAAGAATGAGTTGAACACAGCTAGAAAAAAACAACATCAAAAGAGAGTATTTTTTAGAGTGACAAGACAAATAACATTAAGGTGTAAGGTGGAAAAAACCAGTGGAGTAAAACTGAATGTATAAGAACTGGAGGGCTATTAGAGATTGCCGGAGCCTGTTCACATCATGAGGTGGAAATACCCTGCCCACAGCTCTTGCCCATGAGAGTGTGGCTTATATGGTGTGATTCCTCACCCCTCAGTATAGCTGACTGACTAACATTAGGCATACACGTTGGTTAATGACCTGTTACCTATTATGAAAAGATGAGTTGGGGCCAGGCACGGTGGCTCACGCCTCTAATCCCTGCACTTTGAGAGGCCGAGGAGGGTGGATCACCTGAGGTCAGGAGTTCGAGACCAGCCTGGCCAACATGGTAAAACCCTGTCTCTACTAAAACTACAAAAATTAGCCGGGTGTGGTGGTGCATGCCTGTGATCCCAGCTACTCGGGAGGCTGAAGCAGGAGAATTGCTTGAGCCTGGGAGGCAGAGGTTGCAGTGAGCCAAGATTGCGCCACCGCACTCCAGCCTGGGCAACAGAGTGAGACTCTGTGAAAAAAAAAAAAAAAAAAGATGAGTTGGGCCAATGGATTCTCTTCATTAGGAGTATAAACTAAGAAATATGGAAATAATTGACTGAATAGCGTAGAAACTCAGATGAAAGGGTAGTGGTGTAAAAACAAAGGATGGTGCAGCAGTAATGAGCCATGTTAAAGCTGAAGTTAGATGAAACAAAAACCATAAGTGGCTAAAGGAAATATCTGTGAAGTAGAACATGAGGAAACTAGCTTTTAGAGAAAACAGAATAGGCCAAACATGAATAGAGAGAAGCAGAGGCTCCATGGGAAACTATATCCCTTAAGGGGAGACAGCAAACTGCATTGGTATCTCATAGCTTTCCAGGTATGGTCCACTGGTATCCTTATACTAACTCACCTTTTCTCTTAGCATGAATGGGTTTTCTGTTCCACATCCTGAGCTCCAACACTGAGACAAAGACTAAAAACAAAGCCATGGAGGAGATAGGAAAGGAAAAGTAAACTTGGAAATGGTTGGCCTCAAACAGGAATGAAAAACCTAAACTTCATTGATCTTAGGAAGAAAGTAAGAAAAGGTGTTGATATAGGAGTTAGAAGAAAGTTCATATCAATAATATATTCATCATGAAACAAAATGGGTTAAAATTAAATGAGTTAAGCATCTAACTAAAGAAGTTAAAAGAGAGGCACAGAGCAAGCACAAAGAAACAAGGAAGGAAATAATAAATATAAAGACAGAATGAAATTGAGAACAGCACTAACAAAATAATAACAAGAAAAAATAGCAAATCAAAAGCTGATTACTTGAAAATATTAATAACATAAGCATACTTTTGTTGAGACTAAAAAAAGACAAAAGACAGAATGTTCAAATAAGGTATGGAATGAACAAAAAAATGAAAAAAAAAAAAAAACCAAAGTACAGAATGAAAAAAGGGAATTAACTGTAGACACCACAGAGATTAAGAAACATAAGAATGGTTATTATGAACAATTATATACTAAAATATTTGAAGATAGAAATGAAATATATGAATTCCCAGAAAAATATAGGATATCAAAATTGTTATAACATAGACTTGAATAAGAAATAAAGAAATTAAAGTGATAGCCAAAGACCACCCATCTCAGGAAACCCCAGAGTAAAATAACTAGTAGATTCTACCAAATTTTCAAGGTATAGTGAATTCTTATTTTAAGTTGTTCCAGGAAACATAGAAAGAGCAAAAGCTACTCAAGTTATTATTTATGAGGCTATTATAATCTTGATTCCAACATAAGGTGAAAATAATACCACTAAAGAAAAAACAATATAGCCACGCAGTGAATTTAGGATGTCAGAAAACAACAGGACCCCACATACTTATGGGTGCAAAAATGCATTTGCTATTTGTATATCTTAAATCAGAACATTTGTAACATAAAGCAGTAAAAAGTACAAGTAACACTAGACAGCAATAAGGTAACATTGCCTAAATGTCTACCCTAGTTATAAGCATAACCTTTTCTTTTCAATTCAAAATTTCAATATATCCTCAGTGACTCTCAATAACTCCTATTGCCCCCAACATGCCAGCTTCCCCTCCCATTCCACTGTATTGTGTCACTGCTACTAATCTTTCAGGTGAATTAGAGTTGAATGTGAACACCAAGAATATCTGTTCTATCTGAAGTTCATCTGAAAGGAGGCTGTGCTTTCTGTGTCTATCAAAGTTGGTAAACTAGAAACTCAAATTCAAAACCAGGATAAAGTGAGAAGAGACCAGGGTAATGGACAAGGACAAGGAGATGTTTGCTGCTGACCCTCAAATTTGGTATATCTGGTTAACTTGAGTTAGGATAATTTAGTTAATTTAGAAGCACTGGTTTATAGTGTTGGTGCATAGGGATCAATTTTTTTTGTTCTTTTTTATTTTGGGGGTGCACAATCTGTTTCTTAGTATGGTTTCAACATCAACTCCCTGCTAACCTGTGAAGATTACATCTGTGAGAGATGTCCTTGGAAAAGGAGACGTCAATCATAGACTGTGTCACTTTACTGTCTTGTTATTTTAACTAGTCTGGGTAATATACTGTTTACTTTCCTTAATTTCAGACTTTTGACTGTTGGAGGTGATTTATTTCTTCATTGTAGGTAGTTGAAGAGGAGATTCTGAAACCTATGGAAAACAGATTGGGTGGGCATAAATTTAAAAGATTACATGGAAATACCTTCCCATAGGATTGCCAAACTTCTCAATTCTCTAAAACATGCTGGTAATTTCTTGTTTTCCTTTATTTAGATACTCTCACAGGAGTGAGAACTGAATAATTTTACAAGGCCTTTATCTTTAGCTCCCTTGGTCTCTCTATAACAAACAATATCAAAAGTCCTATGGCCTATAATATTTCCAGGACTAACTAAATCCTGGAAATGCAGAAAAGAAATATACTGTAACCTCTAGCAGAGGATTACAGGCTATATTTAAGAGGCTGAAGGGCAGTGAGTTTTTAAAAATGTTTCCAATTTGCAATGACATTAAATAAAGAAATGAAAATAAATCTTTCATTGTAACCATTATCCCCTGTTAACAATGAACTAAATATTTATTTAAATAAATAAAGAGAAAATAATTCCTAAGCTCACTGTATTAAGAATGGGTCCGATTTTATGAATGCTCTCTATACCCCAGGCCTGATGAAGGCAAGCACAGGCCAGTAACAGGCTGTAAAGGATGAAGAGAAGTTCCTTAGATAAACTGGAGTAGGGAAGGCCTTTTAGCACAGAGCCAGAGCTGAGGCTGGCTCTCATTGGTTTAAGTTGCTGTTTGATTTAAATAAAGGCATAAAATAACTGTCAGACAGATAAAATATTCTCAAGAAGTAATTTGGAAAATTAAACACACCAAAAAAGCCAGGGAACAAAGCTTGTACCTTACTCAGGCTATGGTGTACATAAGTGGCTCTCAAACAGTAGCCTAAGAATCATCAGCATTGTGCGTGAAAATTCAGAACTCCAGGCCAAACTGAAGATATCAGATTGAGAAGACTAGGGTAGCATTTTGGCATCTGTATTTTTAACAAGCAACTCCAGGTAATTTTTACAGAAGTGAAAGTCTAGACACAACAAATTGAAAAACACTGATCTATAATATCATAAAGAAATAGAGTATTTGGCAGTTCCCCAGTTTATTTTTGCTAATAAAAGCCAATCAAAAACCATAACAAAGATTTGAAATTTGGATTCATGCTATGTCGCTGTCTACATTGTTTATTATAGAATAACTATAGCAATAATGAAATGTGATACCATGTCTTCCAAAAACCATAGTCTAATATGAACTTTGTCTGTATTATTAGAAAAACAGACATCTGTAATAAATAGTATCACTGTTATATTCAGAAAAAAAACCAATGAGCTAATTTCTACTTTGTGAGAAAAAAGAAAAACAAAAATTTACATATGTGCTATACTAGACTTGGAGGCAGGCTACAACAAAAAATTATTAAGTTTTCCAATAATGCAATACAAGAAGAAAGAACAGGAAAAAATTGTGCACACATATAAGGGTCAAGGGAAATATCCTTTTGTAGAGATACATGTTGTATATCTTTGTTCCTTGATGAACAGATGCAAAACCTAAGCCAATATTAACTTATCTGTTTTCAGAATGATGATTTGTAAATATTTGCTTTTATCTGATAACTTCATCAATATACCTATTAGCTTTCAGGGAATTAGGCTTTGACAAAATACAGAATAATTGAAATAAATGTGCCTATTGTAAAAACATCTGGAAGCTTCCATTAATTTTTATTTATATGCTTTCTAAAATCAGGAAGATGACCATATTAGAGAGGAATGTTGTCTGCTGATAAGAAACCCATTCCTTGTTTTAGGTGATCCCAAAGTATATTACTTGTGAAATATATGATGTCAAAAGAAAAACATTATAAAGTCAAACATTACATTCAGGCAGGAAAAAGATTTAAGTAATATAAATTACATCAAATCATCCTGGTATTTGCTAAAATCCCTAGTAGGCAGTGCAGAGAAATATTAAGTCATTGAGTCATTTAGTCCGAGTGAAGCAATAAAATGTCAAAAATATAGCTGCAAATTAAACCTGTAAATTTTTTTGTTTGTGCTAAAATATATACTCATATGATAAAACTATATTTAGCTGTATATTTTCCCAGTAAATACTGTTCTTTAACACTGTTTTCTAAAACATCTAAAAATAATCAGCATTTTTGTAAGCCCTTAATGGAAGAAACAAATAACCCTGAAATACGACTTGATTAAATAAAATATTCAGAAACCTCAGGACATTTTCTTCTCTTGTCTCATCTATTACTAGGTTTATTAAAGAGTCTTGGGAGTTTCAATTTATTGGCTTGAAATGTAGACTTCAGACTTTGCAGAGTGATTTGTGAATATGCCTGTTAAAGGCTGTAATCATTCCTATCCTATATAGACCTTTTAAATTGAATTCCTTAGAGAAATATGGAAAGAAATTCCAAAAGGGATTAATATTATTAAGAACTTCTGAACACCAAAAAGGACGTGCATAGGATGTATATTTTATTTAAAATTTGTAATTAACAATTATTACTATAGGCTGGGCACAGTGGCTCACGCCTGATTTCCCAGCACTTTGGGAGACCAAGGTGGGAGGTTCGCCTGAGCCCAGGAGTTCGAGACCAGGGCAACATGGTGAAACTCCATCTCTACAAAAATTTAGCTGGGTGTGGTGCATGCCTGTAATGCCAGCTACTTGGGAGGATGAGGTGGGAGGATCACTTGAGCCCAGGAGGTCACGGTTACCGTGAGCTGAGATCATGCCATTATACTCCAGCCTGGGCGACAGAGTGAGACCCCATCTCAAAAAGTATGTATATATATATATATATATACACACATACACGTATATATATACACACATATACACACACACACACATATATACATACACACACATATATACACATATATATACTTATATATATACACACACATATATATACTTACATATATACACACATATATATATAATTATTATAGACTGAAAATTCAAATGTTGATGCCCTAACCCCTAAAGTGACTGCATATAGAAATACGGCCTTTAAGGAGGTAATTAAGATTAAATAGGTTATAATGTAATAATCAAAACAGCATGGTACTGGTACAAAAATAGACACACAGATCAATGCAACAGAATAGAGAAACCAAGAGTAAAGCCACACACCTACATCCAACTGATATTAGACAAAGACAACAAAAATATGCAACAGGGAAGGGACCCCCTATTCAATAAATGGTGCTGAGAAAACTGGCTAGCCATATGCTGAAGAATGAAACTGGACTTCTACCACTCACCATATTAAAAAATTAACTCAAGATGTATTAAAGACTTAAATGTAAGACCTGAAACTAGAAATTCTAGAAGAAAACCTAGGAAAAACTTTTCTGGACATCGGCTTAGACAAATAATTTTTAACTAAGACCAAAGGCAAATGCGACAGAAACAAAAACAGACAAATAGGACTTAAACTAAAGAGCTCGGCATAGTAAAAGAAAAAATCAACAAAGAGACAACCTACAGAATGGGAGAAAATATTTGCAAACTGTGCATCCCACAAAGGTCTAATATCCAGAATCTATAAGGAAGTTAAACAAATCAACAAGAAAAAAGTGAATAACTCCATTAAAAAGTGGCCCAAGGACATGAACAGACACTTCTCAAAAGAAGACATACAAACATCCAACAAACATGTGAAAAAATACTCAACATCACTAATCATCAGGGAGATACAAATCAAAACCACAATGAGATCCCATCTCACACCAGTCAGAATGGCTATTACTAAAAAGTCAACAAATAACAGACGTTGGTGAGGATGTGGAGGAAAGGGAATGCTTATACACTGTTGGTGGTAATGCAAATTACTTCAATTCCTATAGAAAATGATGTGGAGATTTCTCAAAGAACAAAAATAGAACTACCATTCCATCCAGCAATCTCACTACTGGGTGTATATCCAAAGTAAAATAAATCATTTCATCAAAAAACACCTGCACTGTTATGTTCATTGCAATACTATTCACAATAGCAAAAGTCATGGAATCAAGCTAAGTGCCATCAATGCTGGGTTGGGTTGGATAAAGAAAATGTTATATATATATATATATATATATATATATATATATATATATATATATATATATGTTTTTTTTTCCTATTTATATCACATTACACACACACACACACACACACACACACACACACACACCACGGAATACTATGGAGCCATAAAAAGAATGAAATTATGTCCTTTGCAGCAACATGGATGGAGCAGGAGGCCATTATCCTATGTGAAGTAACTCAGAAACAGAAAATTAAATATTGCATGTTCACACTTAAATGTGGGAGCTCAACAATGGGACATAAAGATGGAAATAACAGACATTAGGGACTCCAAAAGAGGGGTAAGGAGAGGGAGGTGAGAGTTGAAAAACTACCTATTGGGTACTATGTTCACTATTTGGGTAATGGAGTCACTAGAAGGCCAAACCCCAGCATTACATACTCATGGAACAAATCTGTACATGTATCCCCTGAAATTATAATAATTTTGAATAATTATAATAATTTTGAAAAATGAGGTCATAATGGTGTGGTTCCAATCCAGTAGGACTGGTGTCCTTATAAAAAAGGGAGATGACAACAGAGATGTGCATGCACAGAGAAAAGGTCATGTGAGAAGACAGCAAGAATGCAGCTGTCTGCAAGCCAAGGAGCGAGGCCTCAGCAGAAACTAAACCTGCCAGCACCTTGATTCTGGACTTCCAACCTCCAAATCTGTGAGAATATAAAATATTTGTTGTTTAAGCAACACAGTCTGTGGTATTTTCTTAGGCAGCCCTAGAAAATGAATATAATTATATGATGTATAAAATATGTATACACATATATGGGAGCTATGAAGCAAAATAACACATGCTTACAAACCCATACTAACTGTAATCTCAAACTCCCTGCCTCAGAAGTAATTATTATCCTAATTATTTTTCCAGGAAAACATTGTATTCTTTTAAATAAAATGGTTCAAAAGTAACATTTGTAATCGTTTATATCCACAGTGATTTCATATATAAGTCACCGAAGACTTCTCTAAATTATCTGTGCTTAGGAACCAACAATTCTCCCCTAACTAATTTACAAAATCCAACTTCGAACATATTTTTCAATTGCATTCTCCTAAATTTTATATTCGCCATTCCTTTGTGTGGAAAAAAACTTTTACCACATATTTAGGTAATCACAAAACAATGTATTTTGTTCCTTTGGTCAAGCTGTCTTCTTCTCCACCAATAACACACTTTCTTAAATCTTACAGCTTTACAACAAATCTCATTTTCTGACAGAGCCAATTCCATCTTATTTCCCTCGTCTCTTGGCTATTCCATGCTCTTTGCTTTTTCATATGAAGTTTAGATTCCCCAAAAACCCTGTTAGGATTTTTCACTGGAATCAAATTAATTTATGAATCAATTTGGAGAGAACTGACATCTTGATTATATTGGATCTAATATATTCGTATAAACTATTTAGATGTTTAATATTGTTCAATAAAGTCTATAGTTTTTTCATAGAGATCACACACATTTTTGTTATTTTCATTTCTGTGTACTTTATATCTTTGTTGCTATAGTAAATATTATCTTTTCTAACTTTTTTGTATTAGAAATGCAACTTATTTTTGTAAACTGATTTTATAGTGAAATAAATAGTAGCTAAATTCTCCTATTTTTACTAATTCTATTATTTCTAATTATTTATTACATCTAATAATTTAATTTTCATTTGTCATGTCCTTCAGACAAATGAAGGCAGTTTTATTTCTTTCTTTTTAATGCTTATACTTTGTATTTCTTTTCTGTTCTTGCTGTGGGAACTCTGACCTCCACTAAAATGTTCAATCGTATTGCTCTGATTTTAAAGTAAATGCTTCTAGTACTTCATTGGGAAGAATGATACTTGCTGTATGTTCTTCACAGATTATCTTCATTATGTTAAGGACTTCCTTTCTATTTTGCAAAGAGGTTTTTTTTCTTTCATTCCTCTCATGAATGATTCAGCTGAATTAAAAAATTCTATTGAGATGATCATGTTTTTTTCTCTATTAATCTGTTAATATGCTAAATAATTTTCCTCCCTAATGTCAAACCATACTTGTATTCTTTGGATGCCTTCCGTGGTCACGATGTATTTTCTTTTTTATATATACATTATTATACTCAGTCGGCTAATGTTATGTTTAGGATTTTGTATTAAAGTTCATGAGTGAGAATGCATTGTACTTTTACTTTCTCTTGCTGTCTTTGGCTGGTTTGGCTATTAAGGGTTTGATATAGATGTACATTGCTGAGTTTAGAGATATTCCATCTTTTCCCATTCTCTGGAGGAATGCATAAGTTTGAAATGACCTTCATTTGAAAGGCCAGGGGTCAGTTACAGCCATGTAGGCCTGAAGCTTTTTATTTTTTAGTTACAAGTTTTTAATTAAATATTTGATTCTTTAATATTTACAGGACCATTTTAGCTTTCAATATTTTCTTGAGTCACTTCTGGTAAGGTATAATTCTTAGGAATGGGTACAGTTCATCTTAGATTTCACAGTTCATTGGCATACAAAAACATATGCCATATCTTTATTGGCATAAAGTATCTTCTTTTTTTTTTTTTTTTTTTTTTTTTGAGACGGAGTCTCGCTCTGTCGCCCAGGCTGGAGTGCAGTGGCGGGATCTCGGCTCACTGCAAGCTCCGCCTCCCGGGTTCACGCCATTCTCCTGCCTCAGCCTCCCAAGTAGCTGGGACTACAGGCGCCCGCCACTACGCCCGGCTAATTTTTTTGTATTTTTAGTAGAGACGGGGTTTCACCGTTTTAGCCGGGATGGTCTCGATCTCCTGACCTCGTGATCCGCCCGCCTCGGCCTCCCAAAGTGCTGGGATTACAGGCGTGAGCCACCGCGCCCGGCCGGCATAAAGTATCTTCTTATCTTTTAAATGTCTACTCACAGAGATGTGTGCTTCCCTTTTTTAATCATATCACTTATCTCTGTTTTTCTTCTTAATTTTTAACTAATTAAACTTCCACAGGTTTGTCAATTTTATGGTCTTTCAAATTAAGTAATTTCAGGTTTTGTGGATCCCATTGGCTGAATGTATGTTTTCATTTCATTAATTTCTGCTCTTTATTATCTTATTCTTACTTTTTTAAAAGCTTTTGTTCATTTTATAACTTAATAAATTGAAAATCTAGGTCATTTAATTTGTAGCCTTTCTTTTTCTTTTTTTTTATTATTATTATACTTTAAGTTTTAGGGGACATGTGCACAACGTGCAGGTTTGTTACATATGTATACATGTGCCATGTTGGTGTGCTGCACCCATTAACTCCTCATTTAGCATTAGGTATATCTCCTAATGCTATCCCTCCCCCCTCCCCCCACCCCACAACAGTCCCCAGTGTTTGATGTTCCCCTTACCGTGTCCATGTGTTCTCATTGTTCAATTCCCACCTATGAGTGAGAACATGTGGTGTTTGGTTTTTTGTCCTTGCGATAGATTGCTGAGAATGATGGTTTCCAGCTTCATCCATGTCCCTACTAAGGACATGAACTCATCCTTTTTTATGGCTGCATAGTATTCCATGGTGTATATGTGCCACATTTTCTTAATCCAGTCTATCATTGTTGGACATTTGGGTTGGTTCCAAGTCTTTGCTATTGTGAATAGTGCCGCAATAAACATACGTGTGCATGTGTCTTTATAGCAGCATGATTTATAATCCTCTGGGTATATACCCAGTAATGGGATGGCTGGGTCAAATGGTATTTCTAGTTCTAGATCCCTGAGGAATTGCCACACCAACTTCCACAATGGTTGAACCAGTTTACAGTTCCACCAACAGTGTAAAAGTGTTCCTATTTCTCCACATCCTCTCCAGCACATGTTGTTTCCTGACTTTTTAATGATCGCCATTCTAACTGGTGTGAGATGGTATCTCATTGTGGTTTTGATTTGCATTTCTCTGATGGCCAGTGATGATGAGTATTTTTTCATGTGTCTTTTGGCTGCATGAATGTCTTCTTTTGAGAAATGTCTGTTCATATCCTTTGCCCACTTTTTGATGGGGTTGTTTTTTTCTTGTAAATTTGTTTGAGTTCATTGTAGATTCTGGATAGTAGCCCTTTGTCAGATGAGTACGTTGCCAAAATTTTCTCCCATTCTGTAGGTTGCCTGTTCACTCTGATGGTAGTTTCTTTTGCTGTGCACAAGCTCTTTAGTTTGATTAGATCCCATTTGTCAATTTTGGCTTTTGTTGCCATTGCTTTTGGTGTTTTAGACAGGAAGTCCTTGCCCATGTCTATGTCCTGAATGGTATTGCCTAGGTTTTCTTCTAGGGTTTTTGATGGTTTTAGGTCTAACATGTAAGCCTTTAATCCATCTTGAATTAATTTTTGTATAAGGTGTAAGGAAGGGATTCAGTTTCAGCTTTCTACATATGGCTAGCCAGTTTTCCCAGCACCATTTATTAAATAGGGAATCCTTTCCCCATTGCTTGTTTTTCTCAGGTTTGTCAAAGATCAGATGGTTGTAGATATGTGGCATTACTTCTGAGGGCTCTGTTCTGTTCCATTGGTCTATATCTCTGTTTTGGTACCAGTACCATGCTGTTTTGGTTACTGTAGCCTTGTAATATAGTTTGAAGTCAGGTAGAGTGATGCCTCCAGCTTTGTTCTTTTGGCTTAGGATTGACTTGGCAATGTGGACTCTTTTGTGGTTCCATATGAACTTTCAAGTAGTTTTTTCCAATTCCATGAAGAAAGTCATTGGTAGCTTGATGGGGATGGCATTGAATCTATAAGTTACCTTAGGCAGTATGTCCATTTTCACGATATTTATTCTTCCTATCCATGAGCATGGAATGTTCTTCCATGTGTTTGTATCCTCTTTTATTTCATTGAGCAGTGGTTTGTAGTTCTCCTTGAAGAGGTCCTTCACATCCCTTGTAAGTTGGATTCCTAGGTATTTTATTCTCTTTGAAGCAATTGTGAATGGGAGTTCCCTCATGATTTGGCTCTCTGTTTGTCTGTTATTGGTGTATAAGAATGCTTGTGATTTTAGCACATGGATTTTGTATCCTGAGACTTTGCTGAATTTGCTTATCAGCTTAAGGAGATTTTGGGCTGAGACGATGGGGTTTTCTAGATATACAATCATGTCATCTGCAAACAGGGACAATTTGACTTCCTCTTTTCCTAATTGAATGCCCTTTATTTCCTTCTCCTGCCTGATTGCCCTGGCCAGAACTTCCAACACTATGTTGAATAGGAGTGGTGAGAGAGGGCATCCCTGTCTTGTGCCAGTTTTCAAAGGGAATGCTTCCAGTTTTTGTCCATTCAGTATGATATTGGCTGTGGGTTTGTCATAGATAACTCTCATTATTTTGAGATACATCCCATCCATACCTAATGTATTGAGAGTTTTTAGCATGAAGGGGTGTTGAATTTTGTCAAAGGCCTTTTCTACATTTATTGAGATAATCATCTGGTTTTTGTCTTTGGTTCTGTTTATATGCTGGATTATGTTTATTGACTTTCATATGTTGAACCAGCCTTGCATCCCAGGGATGAAGCCCACTTCATCATGGTGGATAAGCTTTTTGATGTGTTGCTGGATTCAGTTTGCCAGTATTTTATTGAAGATTTTTGCATCAATGTTCATCAAGGATATTGGTCTAAAATTCTCTTTTTTTTTTTGTTTTGTCTCTGCCAGGCTTTGGTATCAGGATGATGCTGGCCTCATAAAATGAGTTAGGGAGGATTCCCTTTTTTTCTATTTATTGGAATAGTTTCAGAAGGAATGGTACCAGCTCCTCCTTGTATCTCTGGTAGAATTCGACTGTGAATCCATCTGGTCCTGGACTTCTTTTGGTTGGTAAGGTATTAATTATTGCCTCAATCTCAGAGCCTGTTATTGGTCTATTTGGAGATTCAGCTTCTTCCTGGTTTAGTCTTGGGAGAGTGTATGTGTCAAGGAATTTATCCATTTCTTCTAGATTTTCTAGTTTATTTGCGTAGAAGTGTTTATAGTATTCTCTGATGGTAGTTTGTATTTCTGTGGGATCAGTGGTGATATCCCCTTTGTCATTTTTTATTTCATCTATTTGATTCTTCTCTCTCTTCTTCTTTATTAGTCTTGCTAGCGGTCTATCAATTTTGGTGATCTTTTCAAAAAAACAGCTCCTGGATTCACTAATTTTTTGAAGGGTTTTTTGTGTCTCTATTTCCTTCAGTTCTGCTCTGATATTAGTTATTTCTTGCCTTCTGCTAGCTTTTGAATGTGTTTGCTCTTGCTTCTCTAGTTCTTTTAATTGTGATGTTAGGGTGTCAATTTTAGATCTTTCCTGCTTTCTCTTGTGGGCATTTAGTGCTATAAATTTCCCTCTACACACTGCTTTGAATGTGTCCCAGAGATTCTGGTATGTTGTGTCTTTGTTCTCATTGGTTTCAAAGAACATCTTTATTTCTGCCTTCATTTCGTTATGTACCCAGTAGTCATTCAGGAGCAGGTTGTTCAGTTTCCATGTAGTTGAGCGGTTTTGAGTGAGTTTCTTAATCCCAAGTTCTAGTTTGATTGCACTGTGGTTTGAGAGACAGTTTGTTATAATCTCTGTTCTTTTACATTTGCTGAGGAGTGCTTTACTTCCAACTATGTGGTCAGTTTTGGAATAGGTGTGGTGTTGTACTGAAAAGAATGTATATTCTGTTGATTTGGGGTGGAGAGTTCTGTAGATGTCTATTAGGTCCACTTGGTGCAGAGCTGAGTTCAATTCTTGGATATCCTTGTTAATTTTCTGTCTCGTTGATCTGTCTAATGTTGACAGTGGGGTGTTAAAGTCTCCCATTATTATTGTGTGGGAGTCTAAGTCACTTTGTAGGTCACTAAGGACTTGCTTTATGAATCCGGGTGCTCCTGTATTGGGTGCATATATATTTAGCATAGTTAGTTCTTCTTGTTGAATTGATCCCTTTACCATTATGTAATGGTCTTCTTTGTCTCTTTTGATCTTTGTTGTTTTAAAGTCTGTTTTATCCGAGACTAGGATTGCAACCCCTGCCTTTTTTTGATTTCCATTTGCTTGGTAGATCTTCCTCCATCCCTTTATTTTGAGCCTATGTGTGTCTCTGCACGTGAGATGGGTTTCCTGAATACAGCACACTGATGGGTCTTGACTATCCAATTTGCCAGTCTGTGTCTTTTAATTGGAGCATTTAGCCCATTTACATTTGAGGTTAGTATTGTTATGTGCGAATTTGATCCTGTCATTATGATGTTAGCTGGTTATTTCGCTCGTTATTTGATGCAGTTTCTTCGTAGCCTTGATGGTCTTTACACTTTGGCATGTTTTTGCAGTGGCTAGTACCGGTTGTTCCTTTCTATGTTTAGTGCTTCCTTCAGGAGCTCTTTTAGGGCAGGCCTGGTGGTGACAAAATCTCTCAGCATTTGCTTGTCTGTAAAGGATTTTATTTCTCCTTCACTTATGAAGCTTAGTTTGGCTAGATATGAAATTCTGGGTTGAAAATTCTTTTCCTTCAGAATGTTGAATATTGGCCCCCACTCTCTTCTGGCTTGTAGAGTTTCTGCTGAGAGATCAGCTGTTAGTGTGATGGGCTTCCCTTTGTGGGTAACCCGACCTTTCTCTCTGGCTGCCCTTAACATTTTTTCCTTCATTTCAACTTTGGTAAATCTGATAATTATGTGTCTTGGAGTTGCTCTTCTCAAGGAGTATCTTTGTGGCATTCTCTGTATTTCCTGAATTTGAATGTTGGCCTGCCTTGCTAGATTGGGGAAGTTCTCCTGGATAATATCCTGCAGAGTGTTTTCCAACTTGGTTCCAATCTCCCCGTCACTTTCAGGTACACCAATTAGACGTAGATTTGGTCTTTTCACATTGTCCCATATTTCATGGAGGCTTTGTTCATTTCTTTTTATTCTTTTTTCTCTAAACTTCTCATTTCATTCATTTCATCTTCCATTGCTGATACCCTTTCTTCCAGTTGATCACATTGGTTACTGAGGCTTGTGCATTCATCACGTAGTTCTCGTGCCTGGGTTTTCAGCTCCATTAGTTCCTTTAAGGACTTCTCTGCATCGGTTATTCTAGTTATCCATTCGTCTAATTTTTTTTCAAAGTTTTTAACTTCTTTGCCATTGGTTCGAACTTCCTCCTTTAGCTCAGAGTAGTTTGATCTTCTGAAGCCTTCCTCTCTCAATTTGTCAAAGTCATTCTCTGTCCAGCTTTGTTCCGTTGCTGGTGAGGAGCTGTGTTCCTTTGGAGGAGGAGAGGCACTCTGATTTTGAGTTTCTGGTTTTTCTGCTCTGTTTTTTCCCCATCTTTGTGGTTTTATCTACCTTTGGTCTTTGATGATGGTGACGTACAGATGGGTTTTTGGTGTGGATGCCCTTTCTGTTTGGTAGTTTTCCTTCTAACAGTCAGGACCCTCAGCTGCAGGTCTGTTGCAGTTTACTGGAGGTCCACTCCAGACCCTGTTTGCCTGGGTATCAGCAGCGGTGGCTGCAGAACAGTGGATATTGGTGAACTGCAAATGCTGCCGCCTGATCGTTCCTCTGGAAGTTTTGTCTCAGAGGAGTACCCGGCTGTGTGAGGTGTCAGTCCGCCCCTACTGGGGGTGCCTCCCAGTTAGGCTACTCGGGGGTCAGGGACCCACTTGAGGAGGCAGTCTGCCCATTCTCAGATCTCAAGCTGCGTGCTGGGAGAACCACTACTCTCTTCAAAGCTGTCCTTTTTCTAATGCAAGTGATTAAGACTATATATATATAAATTTTACATGTTTAGTTTTTGTCTAGTTAAAAGTATTTCTTCTTTGGTTAATGAGCTATTCAAAGATTTAAAACATTTCTAAATGTGTAATAATTTTTAAATTTATCTTTTTGGTATGGTCTTTTATTTATCAGAGAATGTGGTCTATGAGACAACAATTCTTTGAAATTTGCTGAGACTTTGTGGTAAAATTATGGCACTTTTTGTAAATGATTAATCAGTTGAAAAGAATGTATATTCTCTAATTGTTGGGTACACAGTTCAATACAGACAAATGTATATTAAGATTTATTATACTGCTGAATTTGTCATTTTCTTCCTTTAATTTAATTGAATTTTATATATTCAGAGGCTATGATATTAAGTGGACAAAAAGGCTTATAATTATATTTTTCTAGTGAGTAGTACCTTTCATTATTATGCAGTGACCTTCCCTATCTCTAGTCATATTTGTTGCATTAAAATTGATGCCCAGTTTTGTTTTGGTTGGTGTTTGCCTGGCATAACTTTTTGCTATCGATTCATTTTCAATCTTTTCACATTTTTATGTTGCAGAGTACCTCAGCAATTGCTAATGTTCTTAGACTTGCTCCCAGTATCTTACTTTTTGCTTTCTGTTTGTGCCACTTCTTCTATACTTAAAATCCCTCTTATTGTCTTAAAAATAGACTTACAAAATTTATATTTATTTGTTTGAAACTGTGTTTATTTCATTTCCTCCCTCTATTGGATTGTAATCCTTTATTGGATTATAATCTCTTAGTGGGTTACCTTGGAAATCTTACTAGGTATACTGATGGTTCCTGTTATACCCCCTCCCCTGGCTTTCATGCAATTTTTGTCTAACATTTTATTTTTGTCCTTTTTATCAATCTCTGAAACTAGATAAGATAATAATACCTATTAGTAGTATTAATAGCAGCAGTAATGGTGTTTTATATAGATTTTATTGGATTTACTCACATTTGCCAATTTTTTCACTCAGTGCTCCTTCTGGCATCTCAGATTCTCCTTTTGAAATTATTTTTCCTTTTCCTGTCATTTTACTGAATTTTTTCTAATCATTATCTTTCAGAGGTTTCTTTAGTTTATGTCTTTTGATAGTACACTGTTTTTGATTATCTTTTTTTCATCCTTGGCTTGAAGTAAAGTTTTGGTGGGCATTCAATCTTAGGTTGACAAGTATTTTCTCTCAGCACTTTGAAAATGTTATTCCACTGATTTCTAGCTTCCATTATTGCTGTTGAGAAGTCTGTGGTAAATTTCATTGTTTCTTTTCAGGTTATCTGTGTTTTTTCCCCCTTAAGCTGCTTTGAGCATCTTTTTTTTGTATTTGATGACCTGTGTTTTACCATAATATCTCAAGGTATGGATTTCTTTTTATTTCTCATTTGTTACATATTGTTTTCACTATCTGTAGACTGCTGTTCTTTACTGTTTTTGGAAAATCATTAGCCATGAGCTCTTTAAATATTATCTTTCTTTCATTTGCTCTATCTTGTCTTTGTGAGTCTTTTACTAGTCTCAGAATTTCACATTTTAGTCTACAAATCTCTACCTTTCATATATTTCATGTAGTTTTCTTTCTATGCTATGTTCTGTGTCATTTAAAAAATCTCTCTCAATCCACTAATTGTCTCTTCACCTGTATCTAAATATACAAATAGAAAGATTCAAGCCACAAGACATTTGTTACTTTCCAAACTGGTCAATGGAAAGCCAATAACTATACATTTGTAATTACCTAATCACATATTTGTAAATATGCATTTTTCCTACATATATTATTAAATTATATTGAAGCTATACCAAATTCTGAGTGAATTTTAATTAGAATATGGGTACTAAATAAACACATTAAGACAAAGCTAGCCAAATGAATATTTTTAAAAAATTGATTACAATTGATTTAAGACATAAGAAGACAAACATTTTGTATCTTTTTTAATAATAGAAAAACAGTATTTCTAGTGAGAAAAAAGTTCTCTCAAACACAGCTGATGAGCTATTTATGATATAGTATAAAAACTAAAACTACTCTGACAAAAAAAGGAATTATTTATTCTACTTAAAAGCGAGAGGAAAAAATTTAATCATGCCCTCATACTTGCAGAGCTATAACTTATTAGGCAGTAAAAGAAATGCTTAAAATAAGGAAATGAAATATTACTTTTCAATTTTGGAAAGGCAGGCTCCTAAACTCTTAAAGCAGGTTAGCAATTTTGGAGGTTAATGTGAAAAAGCAGCAATATGACTCAGGCCAACTTTGAAATTTATCAGGAAACCAAATGTCATTAAACTGATTTTTTGTACTATTTTATCTTTGCTTGGAATAGTTAAGGATTAATATATAAAACCATTTTACTCACATACAGTATCATTTTTAAGGAGTGAAAATATGTATAAATTAATGAATACTGTAGAATGCATTAAAAGAAAAAGGCAATTCATATGGCTTATCTACAGTTCCCTGCATATACTCTGAATTACAAAAGGAAATACAGGAAGGTTACTGGTTTACAGCCTCAATCCCAAATCTTAGCTACATAATAGCTAATTTCTATAAAGGGGGAACACTTTTTCATGTAAAATTAATGCAAAGACAAAATGGATACTTTTATTTCATTTGCTCCCATGATAACCTTAAGAAATATGTACTCACCCAACTAACCAAATTTCTGAAGTACAAAGTTCAAATTCAAAGTATGAACTACTATCCTTCTCTTCTTTACCTTCTTGTAGGTTTCTATTGTCGAGGATACCCTCAAAGAAGGAAGGGGATGCAGAATACTTAGACTGTCTGTCCATAAGGGGCAGAGGACAAACAAGAAGTATTGGAGGAAGCAGAGTGAATTATTGAAGGCCTCCATAGCAAAGAGAATTTTCAGCCTCCTCTTTAGATTTATATAATTTATTACGTTTTGATGAAAATAATTTAGAGGAAGCAGTGAGAGAGACATAATCACATCAGTGGTCAAACTGTAAGAAACGCAGAGAAAGTGTAATAGTTATACAAGGCATCTATTTGTTTGCTTAGTTGCCCATGAAGCAAAGACATAGGAGTCCCTTACTGGTTCTCAACCAGCAATAATTTACTACCTGTGATGGTTAATACTGAGTGTCAACTTGATTGGATTGAAGGATGCAAAGTATTCATTCTGGGTGTGTCTATGAGGGTGTTGCCAAAGGAGATTAACATTTGAGTCAGTGGGCTGGGAAAGGCAGACCCACCCTTAACCTGGGTAGACACCATCTAATCAGCTGCCAGCATGGCCAGGATATAAAGCAGGTAGAAAAATGTGAAAAGGCTAGACTGGCTTAGCCTCCCAGCCTACATCCTTTTCCCGTGCTGAATGCCTTTGAACATCCGACTCCAGGTTCTTCAGCTTTGGGACTTGGACTGGCTTCCTTGCTCCTCAGCTTGCAGATGGTCTATTGTGGGATCTTGTGATTGCGTGAGTTAATACTACTTAATAAACTCCCCTTTATATATATAGGGAGAGAACTAATAGGATAAATAGGATATATATATATCTGTATACATATCCCATATATATATATATCCTCTCTCTCTAAATGTATCCTTTAAATTCTACATTACACTTAGAAAGCATTCAATAAGTACTTGCTAACTCTCTATTTATATACTCAATATACCATATATGGTATATAATATAATTATATATAATATATAATTATATATATGATTATAATATATAATTATATATATGTTATATATATTATATAAATTATAATATTATATATAAAATTATATATATAAATTATAATAGTATAATTATATAAATATATATAATTATAATATATAATATAATTATATATTAGATATATAATAGGATATATATATCCTATCAGTTCTGCCCCTCTAGAGAACCCTGACCAATACAGTACCCTAATCTAGTATCTGTCAATGTATGAAGACAATTTTTTTCTTCATAAACACTAAGTACATTTTATTGAAATATAACATGAATATTTTTGGCCGGGCGCGGTGGCTCACGCCTGTAATCCCAGCACTTTGGGAGGCAGAGGTGGGTGGATCACAAGGTCAGGAGATTGAGACCATCCTGGCTGACACAGTGAAACCCCGTCTCTGCTAAAAATACAAAAAATTAGCCGGGCGTTGTGGCGGGCGCCTGTAGTCCCAGCTACTCGGGAGGCTGAGGCAGGAGAATGACGTGAACCCAGGAGGCGGAACTTGCAGTGAGCCGAGACTGCGCCGCTGCACTCCAGCCTGGGCGACAGAGTGAGACTCCGTCTCAAAAAAAAAAAAAGAAAAGAAAAGAAAAAAAAGAAATATAATAAGAATATTTTTAAAGGGTACAAATCATACATGTAGAGCTTAACAAATTTTTACAAAGTGAACACACCCATATAATCAGCATCAGGTCAAACAGGATAGAGAACTAGTACCTTGGAAACTTCCCTTAGGACCCCTCAAGGGAAGACAATCTTGATTATCATTCTGAGTATGTGTATGTATGCTATTGGCATCTAGTAGGCAGAGGCCAGGGATGCTGCTAAACATCCTACAATGCACAGGAAAGCCCCAATAACAAAGAATTATTCACTTTAAAATGTCAATAGTGCTAAGGATAAAAAATTCTATACTACAACCCCAGATGTGCTTCTCCCTTTCACTCAAGTATGAACGATGATAGTCAGAGCAGCTAACATTTGGTGGGAGTGATTTACTGAGAAAATAATTTGGATGATTACTGAAGGCAAAAATAGGGGTAAATTTCCCAAAGAAATATCTGATCCTTAGAAATTTAAAATAATGCAATGAAGATTTAAGATGAAAATTAATCTAGTTCATTGGTATTGGTGGACATCTATGACCTGTGACAGCCCCCAAATTTTGAACACTTTCCTTATATTTTGATAATTTTCTATGAAATGGCTTCAATCTTCTTAAGGCAGAAATCAGAAAACTAGCATTTCCAGACTGCTAACAGCAAGGCAAGTACCCCATATCCCAGCAATGTAATCCACAGAATATGATTTGAAATTGGAAGCAAACGAACTGGGGATGCAAATCTTCCTGAGGGATTTGATTTGTTGGAAGACTAATCAGGTTCCTTGGGGATGAGAGTGGTGTTCAGATTCGTGCATAGTAAGTGCTGCATGCAGTGGATCAAGCTCCTGGAATGTGCTCGCACAACATTACTGATTAGACAACTCCAAAGCCAGCTCTTGTCTTGCTGATGTCTGTTAGCAAAGTCAGAGATAACTTTAACATGTTCCTTTTGCTGTTATACTGGTCAGTGAGGATTATGTGGTTTGCAATAAAGAATACTGACTGGTAGAAAAGTGTAAAATGTAAAAAAATTTCTTTCCTAAATTATTTTTTATAAAGTTACTGAAGATTCAGCAGTTAGGAGGCCTAAGATATGCTATGAAACCATAAAGTTTTGAATCTGGTGCTTACTGTATTTTCATTGATGACTTGTATTATACTTTGGAGAAGATGCTAAAATATGAGAAGTCTGAGACTGTAGCATTCAGGATCGATATTTAGCATAATATTTATACACACCAGGTATTAAGCAATGCTAGCTAAGAACTTAAATGAATTCAAAATAATATCACTAAGTTGGATAAGCAATCAAGTATTTTAAATAGTATTGTTTTCTAATATTAAGAAAAAAGCATACATAGGAGTAAAAAATAATTTAAAATATAAGTATAGTCATACGCATGTGTGGGAGAATAGTCATACGCATGTGTGGGAGAAAGGAAGCTAGGCATGACAATTCAAGAGGATAGTATAATTTGTACTATGATTATTCTGTATCTATTGTACCAATTTGCACGTCTGCCTGAGCGATCATCTTCTGTAATATCCCAGAATCCTGAGAGGAGGTACTTTGTCTTTTGCACCTTAACCTCAGGGTGAAGGAGCATATGGGTCACCTTCAGGCCCACCTACTGTGGAGAAAAACTTCAAACGGAAGGTCAACAGGCGCTAGGCCTTAATTTTCTTTAATATCACTTTAAATTCTACATTACACTTAGAAAGCATTCAATAAGCACTTGCTAACTAACTATAATTTATGGAAGTAATAAAAAACAACAACTGGATATCTCAGTAAGACTTGTAACAAGAAAAATAAAAGGAAGTCGCATATTGTTTAATGTTGCTCAAGGGTCTTTTACAATGTAAGACACAATATGGTAATTGAGGACAGTTAACTATCTACATATACATTCAGAATTGTTCCACCATCTGACTTTGTAGTAAGAAAATACATGGGCATATGCATGTTCGTGTGTGTGTGTGTGTGTGTGTGTGTGTGTGTGTGTATGCATAAACATATTTAGTTTGGAATAAGGAAATGGGCTTTGTGTGCAAAGTACAAAGCTAAGCAACATTCTGGGTTTGGCAAATTGGCATCTAGTAAGTCACTACAACCCAATCAAACATTTTGGTATATAGGTTGAGTACCCCTTATCCGAAATGCTTGGAACCAGAAGAATTTTGGAATATTTGCATTATACTTATCAGTTCAGCAGCCCTAATCTGAAAATCTGAAATCCAAAATGCTCCCATGAGCATTTCCTTTGAGCCTTATATTGGGCTAAGTTTCTGATTTTGGGGCATTTTGGATTTTTTGGGTTATGGATGCCCAGCCTGTATTATGTTACTACTGATATAAGGTAAGCCTGTATTCATCACTGAAAGAAACACACTAAATAAGGACAGAGGACAGAGGAAAGCCACAAAGTCAATTAAAGTATTATGAATAATTCTAATCAACAAACATTTTTAAAAGAATTGTAGTCACCTGATCACTGAGAGTAGCTTATTTGGTTTGTGCTTTCATTAACAATCTTCTAATAAATGTTACTCATCTCAAGAGTCTCTAAAAAAGGTACTTTGCATATAGAGAGGTTGTTATTTTTAAATTTATATTAAATTCATCAATATTTATGCCACATATGTACTATTAATTTGAAATTTTGAAAATCTTAAAGGCTCTAGAATAGCATGCTCTAGAAAGCCTTATGGTTTATCTATCATCAGATGGATAATGCATATAATATATGATAAGTGAAAGCTAAAATGGTATTTGTAAAACTTGTCCTTCCAATAACGAATATAGAAGAACATGTTTGTATTTTTCCCTATAATTAATCCAAATCAGCAAGGTTCATTACTGTGTTAGGTCATTATCTGGTTATTCAATATGCACTTCTCACTGTAATGCAATGCTACCAATGAACAAGAGTATTACATCCAGAATTGATGGAAATCTACCAAAATCATGAGTGGAAATAAAATTTAAATAAATAAAATCTTATCAAAGATATCCCTTCCCTCTGTTCTCTGAAAGCTTTGAATATTGAAACCTATTCAAAAACAGGCCTTCTTGCTTTCCTGTGGTAAAAGAGAACTGACTTTCAATTTTTCATTAAAATCTGTTTATTCACCGAAGTTAAAATTCAATATTGTAGCCATATCAAAACGTAATTCTTTAAAAAATGGTAAAGACTATCCACAGCTAAACTATGTGTTTATTATAGCATGTAACCAAAAGAAAAGATGTAGGTCTTTATTATACTACAGAGAGCTAATTAGAATAATTGCTCAAAGGCTAAATTACTATTACTCAGTTGCCTTGCTAGCAGAGTCGGTGGAAAATCAGAGGAAAAATTATAGAGAGTAACAATGACTGCCCAACATTCCAGGTTCAAGTAGAAGTTACTTTCCACTAAGTCTTTTTTTCATGATATTTAGCTATCAAACACTTCGAGTTTCTTGAGCCCACTATACTCTCTTCCACTTACTTCACTTACACTCGCATTCTCTTTGCTAACCTTTCTCAAGCTCTTGTCTTTCATCTCAATTCTGTATTCACACTTTTTCTTATATTTGGCAATCTCCCTCTTTGTCCAAGGCCATTTCTCCAAATTCACCACTACTATCTTTCTCAAACAACATATCATAATGCTTTTCCCACCAGTGAGGGCTCACAGTGTAACCATGAGGTTACTGTCCTTTACATAAGGATGAACCTCATGATCTATCATTAGTAGGCCACGAATTTGACTTGTGTTTCTAGTAGTAAAGCATGGATTTTCATTAATAAACACATATTCTTTTCGCTGTGTCACTCTGAAAAGGTCGATTGTGTGGCTTGAATTGTTGTATACCAATTAACAATAAAGAGCCCAACAATCAGAAGAAATAAGACAAATATTTTCTTAGGAAAAAATCTTCATTATTATTATTTTAGATCTCTAATGTAGATGATAAGATTGTATTTGTTGTTAACACTTAGCATATCCTAGTCATTCAGTGTATTGGTAATGTTATTAAAACTGCTGTTTATCTTTAGATAACGTGATTTGGATCCAAAATTCATTTATATTTTTCTGTTTGTAACTTGGGTAATCAAAATCACTGACTTTCATAACTACCCCATATGGGCTAGCAGCTCTTACTACATAGTTCCATAGAGTGTTTTACTTACTTTTGTCATATTTATTATATTAGCTTATCATGGTCCAGTTTGCTTGTTTTAAACAAGTTGAGAATGGGGACTGTATCTTCTATGTCTACAGCTTTAGCTCAACCACAGTATTTGGTACATATGTATATGATATAAGCTAAATGAATATAAGCCAAAGCAGGTTTTTCAATAGTGTATTCAATCACCAATATCAAGGGTGACTTTAATATGTTGATGTTTTTATAGGAAGTTCACTACATGTATAATAAGAGAATCACAACACTGATGGAGGGAAAAAGTCATTTTTTAATTCCTGATGGAGCTACTACTTTGAAATCCTACAAGTTAGGAATTCAGAACCAAAAATGGCTCTCACGTTAAGTATAAGAAAATGATGAAAACTGCCTGATGTAATAAACAGGCCTTGACTTGAAATTCTGTGCCCTTCTTTTCCACTCTAAGTTATTAATTTCTTACTAAAAGATCACACACTTTAGGGATGCTTTAGCAAAATCTAGAAAATCTTGGAAGTTCTGGAATTAACGTAATATTTATAGCCTAGTTTCCTAGAGTGTTCTTTTTCTCCATCTGTTGGTTGTTGATACAGTGTAACTTTATATTCAGATTACAGAAACACAGCAAGAAAGAGTTTCTCTTTTTTTAATATGTTACAATAAGAATTCTGGCTTCATATCCTGGTGTGAGACAGTTATTCTCTTGCTAAAAAATATCTAATTGAGGGGGAAAAAAGTAGGTCAACATTGATGTGGGATTCTTTCTGTTGTAAATAAGAGCTCCAAGATTTAATTCTATAAAATCATTTACATGATGACACATGACCATTTTCTCATAGAAATTATATGGTCATTAAAAGGGCAAGAGTATTAACATGTTTTATTCAGTACATTTTAAATGTAGACTTTAAAATTCTTGATGGAATTTTAAAAAACTAAGGAACAGCAGAAAATAGAAATAATTTTTTGAAATGCTTATACATATATCTTTCCTTAGAAAGCTACTAAATGTTCCATGAGAAGACAATCCTTTCTTTCTTAACGCTTATAATGTTGAGAATAACAATATTCCTTCTTAAACAGAAACACCAAACTATATTAAAATCCTGCTTCAAATATACTCATATATTTGCAAATACTTGGTTCCTAGTTATCCCTCATCTATATTCTTGCTTTGGTTTGGACTCTTAGATTAAAAAAATTAAAGCAGGTACTATCTGAATCTGTAACAGTCTTTTTCTCCTAATTTCCTATTAAATGGTAAATATCTTTAAAAAAATTAGGCTATCAGCCAGCATGGAGACTCATGCCTGTAATCCCAGTAATCTGGGAGGCTGAGGCAGGCTGATCTCTTGGGCTCAGGAGTTCGAGACCAGCCTGGGCAACACAGTGAAACCCTGTCTCTACTAAAAATACATACATTAGCCAAGTGTAGTGGTGCACATCCATGGTCCCAGCTACTTGGGAGGCTGAGGCAGCAGGATCACTTGAGCCCAGTGGGCAGAGGTTGCAGTGAGCCAAGATCACATCACTGCACTCCAGCCTGAGTGAGACTCCATCTCAAAATAAGTAAATAATAAATAAATAAATAAATAAATAGGCTATCGTGCAATTTTTGTCATCTGTATTTTACTTTGAATTTACTAACTCTCATTGTCAAAAAATCACCAAACAGTAATATTTAACTTCTGAACAGAAAGGTGTAATACTACATTTCTGGGAATACAGACCAGATAGCTCATCAGTACAATGAAGGCAGAATTTATATTAAAGTAAGAAAATATAATGTAAATATATTGTGCCAAGTTTTTAAAAACCATGATGCAGGCAAAATATTTAAAATTGAGGATATTTTGATAATTGTCCCATTTTAAAAATACAAACATTATGGTAATTTATGATACAAAGCAAGTATCAACAACTAGACAATTTCTTGCACAAAGTCTTTTTTAACAAAACATGTTTCTCAATTTAATATGTAATCTATCACCTTTATAAAGTGATGATAATAATTTAGTATAAAATATAGAGGAAGAAAAATGTTCCTGGATGAAGCTTTTGTTACACTTCAATTAGCCAGGTAAAGTGGGGAATAAAGAATGAGTAAATGTATGGTAGGTGGGGTGGGGATTGGAAGAGACTGGATGTAGTAGTTTTATGTGTTTTGAAATAGCTATCTATTATACATCCCCTAAGTGCATTCACTTAAAATATTAATATCCTGAATTCAAATGGTACATTTAACATAAAGAATTTAACATGGCTCACAAATATAACATAAACTATCTTTTCTTGAGGGAGGCAGATTAGTCACTGTAATTTTGCTTCATAATTTTATTGATTTGAACACAGGAGTATACCAAAAGCTATTGAAATAAAAACAATCACAACAAAAAGTATTACAACAAAAAGAAAAAGTATTACAACTTTTTATTTCAGTATATATTCAAACACACAGAAAAGCTGCAAGAATAGGCTGAGGGACTCTTGTAACTCTTTATCCAGATTCCTCAATGATTTTCATTTTTCTCTATTTAATTTGTCATCTTAGCATCTATCTGCTTAATTTGTACTTCTGGAATCTTTGAGAGTAAACTGGAGCAATGTTCCAATTTACCCCTAAATACTTCATTTCCTTAGAACAGGGATATTCTCTTGCATAATTACAATACAACTTATCAAATTAAAAAAGTAATGTATCTAATCTACATACGCTATTCAATTTTTGTAATTGTCCCAACAATGCCCTTTGTGGGATTTTATAGATTGAAAAAAAACCCTAGGCCAAGAACCAATCAATTATCACATGACATTTAGTTGTTAAGTGTCTTCAGTTTCCTACTTTTTTTTTTTTTAAGTTTTTTGAAAAATGGAACCACTACTTAGTCTTTCTTTTTCATGACTTTGGCACTTTTGAAGAATGTAGGCCGGTCATTTTGTTAAAAATTTTTACCACATGTTGAATTTGTCTGATGTTTCCTCATAATTCAATTGAGGTCACGCATTTTAGTGGGAATATTACAGAGGCGATGCTGTGTCCTTCTCCATGCATCATATCAGGAGACACAGGAAATGAAAGTTTATTACAATATTGGTGGTGGTAACTATGATCACTTTGTTAATGTGATATCCATTGGTTTCTCCACTGTCAAATTAGTAGGTTTCCTTTATAATTAAATTTTGAATATTTTGAAACTAATATAAAATTTTACTCGCTAATTTTAGCATCTAATAGAAGGGATAATAGAGTTATAAAATCATTTTCTAACTCTATTATCCCTTCTATTAGTTGGCATTCTGATGTAAGAAAGAATTTTCTGTTCTCCTTCATTTATGTATTCATTTATATTGGTCTGGATTGATAAGATTCTCATTTTATATAGTGTGTTATAATTCATTATTATCATTATTTATCTTAATGCTCAAATTGCCCCACATTTGGCTGCTGGGACTACGTTAACACAAGACCGCCTTAGTACTGCTTCAGTTGGAGTCCCTTTACCAAGAATTAGTAAGAGCAGAAGGTAACTATTGTGAAACACATTTTGATGCTCTTTTTAAATATTTTTTGTTTTTATTTATTTTAAAAAAGTTTTTATTTTTTTTAATACTTTAAGTTGGGATACATGTGCAGAATGTGCAGGATTGTTACATAGGTATACACATGCCATGGTGGTTTGCTGCACCCATCAACCCATCATCTACATTAGGTATTTCTCCTAATGCTATCCCTTCCATACCCCCTAACCCCTGACAGGCCCCAGTGTGTGATGTTCCCCTCCCTGTGCCCATATGTTCTCATTGTACGGTTCCCACTTATGAGTGAGAACATGCGGTGTTTGGTTTTCTGTTTCTGTGTTAGTTTGCTGAGAATGATGGCTTCCAGCTTCATCCATGACCCTGCAGAGGACATGAACTCATACTTTTTAATGGCTGCATAGTATCCCATGGTGTATATGTGCCACATTTTCTTAATCCAGTCTATCACTGACGAGCATTTGGAGTGGTTCCAAGTCTTTGCCATTGTGAATAATGCTGCAATAAACGTACATGAGCATGTGTCTTTATAGTAGAATGATTTATAATCCTTTGGGTATATAACCAGTAATGGGATTGCTGGGTCAAGTGGTATTTCTGGTTTAGATCCTTGAGGAATCGCCACACTGTCTTCCACAATAATTGAATTAATTTACACTCCCACCAATGGTGTAAAAGTGTACTATTTCTCCCCATCCCCTTCAGAATCTGTTGTTTCCTGACTTTTTAATAATTGCCATTCTAACTGGTGTGAAATGCTATCTCATTGTGGTTTTAATTTGCATTTCTCTAATGACCAGTGATAAAGAGCTTTTGTTCATATGTTTGTTGGCTGCATAAATGTCTTCTTTTGAGAAATATCTGTTCATATACTTCTCCCATTTTTTGATGGGGTTGTTTGTTTTTTTCTTGTAAATTTACTTAAGTTCCTTGTACATTCTGGATATTAGCCCTTTGTCAGATAGATAGATTGCAAAAATTTTCTCCCATTCTGTAGGTTGCCTGTTCACTCTGATGACAGTTTCTTTTGCTGTGCAGAAGCTCTTTAGTTTAATTAGATCCTGTTTGTCAATTTTGGCTTTTGTTGCCATTGCTTTTGGTGTTTTGGTCATGAAGGCTTTGCCCATGTCTATGTCCTGAATGGTATTGCCTAGGTTTTCTTCTAGGGTTTTTATGGTTTTGGGTCTTACGTTTAAGTCTTTAATCCATCTTGAGTTCATTTTTGTATAAGGTGTAAGGAAGGGGTCCAGTTTCTGTTTTCTGCATATGGCTAGCTGGTTTTCCCAACGCCATTTATTAAATAGGGAATCTTTCCCCATTGCTTGTTTTTGTCAGGTTTGTCAAAGATCAGATGGTTGTAGATGTGTGGTGTTATTTCTGAGGCCTCTGTTCTGTTCCATTGGTCTATATATCTGTTTTGATACCAGTACCATGCTGTTTTCATTACTGTAGCCTTGTAGTATAATTTGAAGTCAGGTAGTGTGAAGCCTCCAGCTTTGTTCTTTTTGCTTAGAATTGTCTTGGCTATATGGGCTCTTCTTTGGTTCCATATTAAATTTAAAGTAGTTTTTTCTAATTCTGTGAGGAAAGTCAATGGTAGCTTAATGGGGATAACATTGAATCTATAAATTACTTTGCATACTATGGCCCATTTTCACAATACTGATTCTTCCTATCCATGAGCATGGAATGTTTTCCATTTGTTTGTGTCCTCTCTTATTTTCTTCAGCAGTGGTCTGTAGTTCTCCTTGAAGAGGCCCTTCACATCCCTTGTAAGTTGTATTCCTAGGTATTTTATTCTCTTTGTAGCAATTGTAAATGGGAGTTCACTCATGATTTGGCTCTCCGCTTGTTTATTATTGGTGTATAGGAATGCTTGTGATTTTTGCACATTGATTTTGTATCCTGAGACTTTGCTGAAGTTGCTCATCAGCCTAAGGAGATTTTGGGCTGAGACAATGGGGTTTTCTAAATATACAATCATGGCATCTGCAAACAGGGACAAGTTGACTTTGTCTTTTCTTATCTGAATACCCTTTATTTCTTTCTCTTGCCTGACTGCCCTGGCCAGAACTTCCAACACTATGTTGAATAGGAATGGTGACAGAGGGCATCCTTGTCTTGTGCTGGTTTTCAGAGGGAATGCTTCCGGCTTTTGGTCATTCAGTATGATATTGGCTGTGGGTTTGTCATAAATAGCTTTCATTATTTTGAGATACGTTCCATCAATACCTAGTTTATTGATAGTTTTTAGCATGAAGGGGTGTTGGATTTTATCGAAGGCCTTTTTTGCATCTATTGAGATAATCATGTGGTTTTTGTCATTTGTTCTATTTATGTCATGGATTGCATTTATTGATCTGCATGTGTTGAACCAGGCTTGCATCCCAGGTATGAAGTCGACTCGATCATGGTGGATGAGCTTTCTGATGTACTGCTGGATTCTGTCTGCCAGCATTTTATTGAGGATTTTTACATCGATATTCATCAAGGATATTGGCCTGAGATTTAGTATTTCTGTTGTGTCTCTGCTAGCTTTTGGTATCAGGATGATGCTGGCCTCATAAAATGAGTTAGGGAGGAGTCCCTCTTTTTCTTTTGTTTGGAATAGTTTCAGAAGGAATGGTACCAGCTCCTCTTTGTACTTCTGGTAGAATTCACCTGGGCATCCATCTGGTCTGGGGTTTTTTTTTTGGTAGAGTGTTAATTACTGTCTCAACTTCAGAACTTTTTATTGGTCTATTCAGTGATTCGACTTCTTCCTAGCTTAGTCATGGGAGGGTGCATGTGTCTAGGAATTTATCCATTTCCTCTATATTTTCTAGTTTATTTGCATAGAGGGGTTTATAGTATTATCTGATAGCAGTTTGTATTTTGGTGGGATCAGTGGTGATAGCCCCTTTATCATTTTTTATTGTGTCTATTTGATTCTTCTCCTTTTTCTTTTTTATTGGTCTGGCTAGTGGTCTATGTATTTTGTTAATCTTTTCAAAAAATCAGCTCCTCAATTCCTTGAATTTTTGAAGGGTTCATCTCCTTCAGTTCTGCTCTGATCTTGTTTATTTCTTGTCTTCTGCTAGCTTTTGAATGTGTTTGCTCTTGCTTCTCTACTCCTTTTAATTGTGATGTTAGGGTGTCGGTTTTAGATCTTTCCTGCTTTCTCCTGTGGGCATTTGGTGCTATAAATGTCCCTCTAAGACTGCTTTGGCTGTGTCTCAGAGATTCTGGTATGTTGTGTCTTTGTTCTCATTGGTTTCAAAGAACTTATTTATTTCTGTGTTAATTTTGTTATTAACCCAGTAGTTATTCAGGAGCAGGTTGTTTAGTTTCCATGTATTTGTGTGGTTTTGAGTGAGTTTTGTAATCCTGAGTTCTAATTTGATTGCACTGTGGTCTGAGAGACTTGTTTGTTAAGATTTCTGTTCTTTTGCATTTGCTGAGGAGTGCTTTACTTTCAATTATGTGGTCAATTTTAGAATAAGTGTGATGTGGTGCTGAGAAGAATGTATATTCTGTTGATTTGGGGTGGAGAGTTCTGTAAATGTCTATTAGGTCTGCTTGGTCCAGAGCTGAGTTCACGTCCTGAATATCCTTGTTAATTTTCTGTCCTGTTGACCTAATATTGACATTTGGGTGTGAAAGTCTCTCACTATTATTGTGTGGCAGTTTAAGTCTCTTTGTGGGTCTCTAAGAACTTGCTTTATGAATCTGGGTGCTCCCCTATTGGGTGCATATATATTTAGGATAGTTAGCTCTTCTTGTTGCATTGATCCCTTTACCATTATGTAAAGCCCTTCTTTGTCTTTTTTGATCTTTATTGGTTTAAACCCTCTTTTACCAGAGACTAGGATTGCAACCCCTGCTTTTTATTGCTTTCCATTTGCTTGGTAAATATTCCTCCATCCCTTTATTCTGAGCCTATGTGTGTCTTTGCGTGTGAGATGGGTCTCCTGAATACAGCACACTAATGGGTCTTGACACTTTGTCCGATTTGCCAGCCTGTGTCTAATTGGGGCATTTAACCCATTTACATTAAAGGTTAATACTGTTATGTGTGAATTTGATCCTGTCATTATGATGCTAGTTAGTTATTTTGCCCGTTAGTTGATGCAGTTTATTCATAATGTCAATGGTCTTTACAATTTGGTATGTTTTTGCAGTGGCTGGTACCAGTTTTCCTTTTCCATATTTAGGGCTTCCTTCAGGAGCTCTTGTAAGGTAGGCCTGGTGGTGACAAAATCTCTCAGCATTTGCTTGTCTGTAAAGGATTTTATTTATCCTTCGCTTATGAAGCTTTGTTTGGCTGGATATGAAATTCTGGGTTGAAAATTCTTTTCTTTAAGAATGTTGAATATTGGCCCCCACTCTTTTCTGGCTTGTAGGGTTTCTACTGAGATATCTGCTGTTAGCCTGATGGGATTCCCTTTGTGGATAACCTGACCTTTCTCTCTTCTGCCCTTAATATTTTTTCCTTCATTTCAACCTTGGCGAATCTGTCGATTATGTGTCTTGGGTTGCTCTTCTTGAGGAGTATCTTTGTGGCGTTCTCTGTATTTCCTGAATTTGAATGTTGGCCCGTCTTGCTAGGTTGGGGAAGTTCTCCTGAATAATATCCTGAAGAGTGTTTTCCAACTTGGTTCCATTCTCCCCGTCACTTTCAGGTACACCAATCAAACACAGGTTTGGTCTTTTCACATAGTCCCATATTTCTTGGAGGGTTTGTTTGTTCCTTTTCATTCTTTTTTCTCTAATCTAGTCTTCACACTTTATTTCATTAAGTTGATCTTCAATCTCTGATATCCTTTTTTCCGCTTGATTGATTCAGCTATTGATACTTGTGTATGCTTCATGAAGTTCTCATGCTGTATTTTTCAGCTCCATCAGGTATAGAGGTCCACTCCAGACCCTGTTTGCCTGGGTATCACCAGCAGAGGCTGCAGAACAGGTCTTTTCTTAACTGGTTATTTTAGTTAGCAATTTGTCTAACCTTTTCTCAAGGTTCTCAGAGGCTGCGTGTGGTGGCTCATGCCTGTAATCCCAGCACTTTGGGAGGCCGAGGTAGGTGGATCACGAGGTCAGGAGATTGAGACCATCCTGGCTAACACAGCGAAACCCCGTCTCTACAAAAAATACAAAAAAATTAGCCGGGCGTGGTGGCGGGCGCCTGTAGTCACAGCTACTCGGGAGGCTGAGGCAGGAGAATGGTGTGAACCCAGGAGGTGGAGCTGGCAGTGAGCCAAGATTGCGCCACTGCACTCCAGCCTGGGTGACAGAGTGAGACTCTGTCTCAAAAAAAAGAAAAGGTTCTTAGCTTCCTTTCATTGGGTTAGAATATGCTCCTTTAGCTCGGAGGAGTGTGTTATTACCCACTTTCTGAAGCCTACTTCTGTCAATTCGTTAAACTCATTCTCTGTCCAGTTTTGTTCCTTTGCTGGCAAGGAGTTGTGATCACTTGGAGGAGAAGAGGCATTCTGGGTTTTGGAATTTTCAGCCGTTTTGCACTGTTTTTTCCTCATCTTCATTGATTTATCTACCTTTGGTCTTTGTGTTGGTGACCTTCAGATGGGGTCTCTGAATGGATTTCCTTTTTGTTGATGTTGATGCTATTCCTTTCTGTTTGCTAGTTATCCTTGTAACAGTCAGGCCCCTTTGCTGCAGGTCTGCTGGAGTTTGCTGGAGGTCCACTCCAGACCCTGTTTGCCTGGGTATCACCAGCAAAGGCTGAAGAACAGCAAAGACTGCTGCCTATTCCTTCCTCTGGAATCTTTGTCCCAGAGTAGCACCCACTAGATGCCAGCTGGAGTTCTCCTGTGTGAGGTGTCTGTCGACCCCTGCTGGGAAGTGTCTCCCAGTCAGGAGGCACGGGGGTCAGGGACCCACTTGAAGAGGTAGTCTGTCAGTTAGCGGAGCTCGAGCATTGTGCCGGGAGATGCACTGCTCTCTTCAGAGCCAGTAGGAAGGAACCTTTAAGTTGGCTGAAGCTGTGCACACAGCTGTTCCTTTCCCCTGGTGCTCTGTCCCAGGGAGATGGGAGTTTTATGTATATGTCCCTGACTGGGGATGCTGCCTTTCTTTTAGAGATGCCCTGCCAACAGAGGAGGGATCTAGAGAGGCAGTCTGGCTACAGTGGCTTTGCTGAGCTGCAGTGATCTCCGCCCAGTTCGAACTTCCTGATGGCCTTGTTTACACTGTGAGGGGAAAATCGCCTACTGAAGCCTCAGTAATGGTGGATGCCCCTCCCCCCACCAAGCTCCACCATCTCAGGTTCACTTCAGGCTGCTGTGCTGACCTGAGAATTTCAAGCCAGTGGATCTTAGCTTGCTGCGCTCTGTGGGGCTGGGATCCGCTGAGCTAGACCACTTGGCTCCCTGGCTTCAGCCCCCTTTCCAGGAGAGTGAATGGTTCTGTCTTGCTGGCATTCCAGGGGCCACTGGGGTATGAAAAAAACTCCGGCAGCTAGCTCGGTGTTTGCCCAAATGGCCACCCAGTTTTGTGCTTGAAACCCAGGGCCCTGGTGGTGTAGGCACCCGAGGGAATCTCCTGATCTGCAGTTGCAAAGACCATGGGAAAAGCGTAGTATCTGGGCCCGAGTGCACTGTTCCGCATGGCACAGTCTCTCCTGTCTTCCCTTGGCTAGGGGAGGGAGTTCCCCAACCCCTTGTGCTTCCCCAGTCGGGAGGGCTGCACTCACTGTCTAACTAGTTCCAATGAGATGAGCTGGGTACCTCAGTTAGAAATACAGAAATTACCCGCCTTCTGCGTTGATCTCGCTGGGAGCTGCAGACCGGAGCTGTTCCTATTTGGCCATCTTGGCAGCCACCACCATTTTGATGCTCTTATTAACATCTAGTGATTGTTGTCCAAACTATGGGATTGGCAACGTGTCTTTAAAAATAACTATTGTTAAGTTCCTATTTCTCTGACTATATAGATAATGTGAGCCCTTCTTGTTTCATAGCCTAGATCCTGGGCAATGTTGCAAAAGGCTACATTAGTTAATATTGGACAAATTGTTAAGCCAGTCATTCAACATATACCCTACCTTTTAAAAATGGCTCTGCAACAGATTTCTGTTTGGAAATACTAATAAAACAGGGGAGTCAGTGTCCCAACTGATGTTCAGAAGAATATGTACTGAAAAGAAATCTGTAAATCCAACACGTTTTTTTTTTTGTTTTGTTTGTGTTTTTGAGACAGAGTCTCACTCTGTCACCCAGGCTGCAATGCAGTTGTGCAATCTTGGCTCACTGCAACTTTCACCTCCTGGGTTCAAGAGATTCTCCTCCCTCAGCCTCCCCAGTAGCTAGGATTACAGGCATGTGCCACCTCACCTGGCTAATTTTTGTATTTTTAGTAGAGATTGGGTTTCACAATGTTGGCCAGGCTGGCTGGTTTTGAACCCCTGACCTTGTGATCCGGCTGCCTCGGCCTCCCAACGTGTTGGCATTATAGGCATGAGCCACCACGCCTGGCCCCAACCCAGCACTTTTTTTCTTATTTTTCTTCTCAATAAAAACATGGAAGGAGAGGAGGGGAGCGGAGGGAAGATTTTTATAGTTAGCAGATTATGATAATTCTAAATACAAGGTAAATAATGGTGGGAAAACTCATAATAAAACTTACCTAGTCTGAGCTAAAATTTTAAAATGAACATTGATTATATGTGCATTTTAACTGAAATATAAAAACATTATTTTTTATTTGTTTTTGAATATTTTTCAACAATTTTAATGCCAGCTTAGAAAAATGATCATATAGACTGTCACAAAAATACCAGCAATATTAAACAGTGTGCACCCTGTAATTCCAGCATGTGGTACCAGAATGTTTCTAAGGTTTCACAGTAAATATCAGCAATGCAGCACACTCTACCTAGATTTTCAATATCTAGGTCACATGGACTACTTTGAATACTGTGAATAGGGGAAAAAAAGCAGGAAGATTTCTGTATAGCCACCAGAAAATCATAACATGCAAAATACATTTTAAAAAATCCTAGGATATCATGGTTTTAAAAATAATTCCTACATAAAATAGAAGACAGTATCCCAAAAAGGAACTTCTCATCTATTATGTAAACCAAATAAAACCTTTGCAGAGTATTATTTACTTAATAAAATGTCTTTTGTTTTTCCTATTCTCTGAGATGTGTGTGTGTATGTGCACACTGAATGGTCAGAAGCAGGTAAAAAGAACATATACTAAAAATAAATGTGTTGTTAATCCAAAAAATATATGCACTTTAGGGAAAAATCCAGCAGTAGTTAGAGGTAATCAGAAACTACAGCTTCCACTTATAATAAAGGCAAACAGATATGATAATAATGATATTTGAAATTATAATCCTTTTTATTTATATAAAAGAGACATGGAGGGTTTATAATACATTTTGATTATGAAAAATGCACACTGCATTTGCAATTTCTTTCAGCCATAATAATATACAGTTACAGATATTTGAAACCTGAAATGATCTTTGCTATAATTTTATTATTTTCCTTGAAATCTAGTGAATTTATTCAGTTATGGATTTAAAATTTCTTCTTGCCCTTTTTCCAAGTTTTTATGTGAAGGACAGGAAGTAAATATGTGTCTCAGCAAAATGAGAGTCCCTAATAATCTATAATAAAACTGCTACCACATATAACTTTTATATATGTATACTTCTTTTAAAGGGAGACAGAAATGAAAACAACTTTTTCAGTGAATTTTTCTTAATCTATTTGAAAAGCAATACATAAAGAGCAGTCACATATGCCAGCACAACAATTAAAATGGGTAACATTGAAAAACCACATTTAAATGACTAGGATTCATAGAGATCATGCTTTGATAAAGAGTTTATTCCTATTATCAAAAAGATCTATAGAACTGGCTATAAACAATGTATTTTTTTAATGGCACTAAAGCTTACAAGGATCTTTCAATCGAGTACACAAAGGAGCTGCTTAAGACTGCAAAGCCTTTCTTAAGACTTAAGAAGGCAAGAAAAATGCTTTTTACATATCACACTCCATTATTTGGCAATAGTGCCCTTTTAAAGGACCAAAATTTTCATATAGTAGGAGGATTTTGATATTAGAGAATTTACTATAGTTATGGAGATATTCTAGAAGCGGTTTAAAAATGGGTATATAGCACAAAGAAAGAGCAAAAATGAACATGATATGTTTTATCTCATTTTATTCATCATTACCACCCTATGAAATAGCATTTTGATCCTTATTGCTGTTAACTGAAAATAAAACACTACAATTTTTTTTTTTTTTTTTTGAGACAGAGCCTTACTCTGTCATCAAGGCTGAAGTGCAGTGGTGTGATAATGCCTCACTGCAACCTCCTCCTCCCAAGTTCAAGTGATTCTCATGCCTCTGCCTCCCAAATAGCTGGGACTACAGGCGTGCAGGGTGCCACCAAGCCTGGCTAATTTTTGTATTTTTAGTAGAGATGGGGTTTCACCATGTCGCCCAGGCTGGTCTTGAACTCCTGACCTCAGGTGATCCATGTGCCTCGGCCTCCCAAAGTGCTGGGATTACAGGCTTGAGCCACCACACCCCGTCAAAAGACTATAAATTTCTAGAAGTCCAAGGCTGGTATAAAGCTAACTTACTGCTACTCTATGCAAAATAACATTGAAATCAAGTGATAGAAAGCACTGGTAGAGTAGGTAGAGATTAGATTATTTCTGAAAAGAGTCACTTCAATTTTGCCCTGGAGAATAAATTATATTTTGTCTTTTAATTTTTTTAAGACAGGTTCTCACTCTTGTCACCCCGGCTGGAGTGCAGTGGCATGCCGCTCACTGCAGCCTTCATCCACCCATCCCCAACCCCCACCTCAAGCGATCCGCTCCTCAGCCTCCTGAGTAGCTGAGACCACATGCGTGTACCACCACACCCAGCTTTTTTTTTTTTTTTTTTTGTATTTTTAGTGGGGGTTTCACCTGTTGCCCAGGCTGGTCTGGAATTTCACAGCTCAAGTGATCCACTTGCCTTGGCCTCCCAAAGTGCTGTGTGAGCACTTACAGGCGTGAGCCACTGCACCCAGCCTATTTTGCTTTATAATAGGAGAAAGTATTGTATTTAACTTGTTCCTAGGTGGTTGCATTCCTTTAAATATTAATCCACTTATTTCTTTATATGTAAGAATATACTAATTATATCCCTCCTGTATTATTTTAATAAGTAGCCCTATTACCTATATCTTGGGCTGTGTTATAAGCATCACATAATTACATGCAGAGTAACCTCATCTGCTAGTTTATGCTGCTATAACTCAAGCTTTATCAGGAGTGATCTTTGTAAAATGGCATTTCCTCTGGCCATTTTTTTTGCCTACAAACTTTCAATGACTTCTAGTTAAAGATACCAGGTAGACCACGCATGTTTTTACTTCTTTTAAGACCCAGTAAAATGACAATACAGAAATAAAAAATAAGTAACACCACAATAGGTGGAGGATGGGCCATTAACAGATGTGAGATTTCAATATATTAATGTGAGCAGGAAAACAGATTAGAACTGCTGAAGTGGGCACAGGAAACCTCAGCCTAGAGTAGACAAGACCCATTGATCTGTAGATACACAGGGAGGTTCAGGGGCTCTGAGATGCCTGGTAAGAGGACAGCAGGGAGAAATAGGGCTGAAAATGGGGAGATTTACTGAATATTTGTATAATGAACAATGACACACAGAGACCACAGAGAATACGAAAGACTTTTAGAAAATAAAAACATAATTTTATATTTCAACCCTCCCATGAATTTTTGTTTTAAGAGTTGAGAGCTTTCCCAGTAGGTAGATTAAAAATGAAACAAAGTATCATGCAAAAGAACAGACTTCAAATGGCCAGCCCATGTGGACCATCATAGAATAATAAAAGTTGTAGAAGGAAAGAACAAGAAAAAAAAGGTGGGTTAGGGGAGAATTATAAGAAAATAATGCAAGATAATTTTCTAGATATGAAGGACACAACTCCTCAGAAGAGAGTACCCACTTAAAATTCAAGTACAACATGAATTTTAAAAGGCCTACACCTAGACATATCAGGAATTGCAAAATACCAAGAAAAAAAAAAAAGAGTAAATCCTAAAAGCCAGAAGAAAAAAGCAGATGACCTACAAAGGACAAAAATGAATGTCTGAAGAGAGTGGAGCATCACCTTCCAAATTCAGAGGGAAGATTTGTAATCTAGAGTCCCAGATAAACTAGAATTAAGATGGCAAGCAATTAAAATGGATAGTAATTGCTTCTCCTCACCACAGTCTTTAAAGGTGTGCCTTTTCTATAACTTTCAACATGATGAATTGTGAAGACTATTATAAAAAACAGTTAGGAAAGTGGTACAAAATGTCAATTTTAAACAGTGTCTCATGTAGAGTAGGTGGCCAAAAATAGCACCTTTTAAATGTGTTTTCTCCTTTTCTAATGTGGATGCATACACTCACTACTTCTCTCCTTTCCCCCAGACCTGTAAGGCTCTGCCCCTAGGCTTGCATCTTCTAATGTTAGAACCTGGATAACTTGTGAGTATAAAATAAGAAAAAATTCAAACATAAAAATTTAAAAAATTGATTATCCATATACTTGTTCTTAGGAGTTGCTAAGGGATACGCTTCATCACAGCAGAATTAAAAAAAAAGAAAAGAAAAGAGAAAAAATGTGGGTTGAAATAGCACCATCCAGAAGATCAGGAAAGGGGAGTCTCAGGATGACAGTTGTGCAGCCAGAGGATGTCAAGACTCTGGAAGAGCAGTTCCCAAGGAAAAGGGGGAAGAAAAGGAAAGAGATACACCAGAATGTTTTATATAATGGAGAGTTGGAAAGAACTGGGAATATCATAAAGAAAAATGATACAAGAAAAACAAAAGGGAATTAGAAATTCTAAGAAAACGGAAAAATTGCTTAAGAAAATATAACCAAAGAAGAATACTTGGCACTGTAATTAATCACTAATTAAATTAATACTTATTTAGTGTCAGCTGGTTATATAGCATTGTTTTAGCTACTAGGAATACAGTAATGATGGGGAAAGTAATGAATTAAAAAATGGATTAAATTAGTTAGAACAGATTCTCTCCCTTCTTGAAGCTTACAGTCCAGTGGGGGAGAGTGACAGTAGTTTTAAAAATTAAGAAAATTAAAATATATAATGTGTATTAACAACGTGAGCTATGAAGAAAAAAAATAAGGAAACCAGAGCAAAAATTCCAGGCATGGGAAGTTGCTATTTAAAATAAGTATGGCAAGGGAGGCCCTACTGATCAGCTGCCATTATCGTCAAGAATTTAAGAAAAAGAGGGATTAAATTGTCATCTCAGTGAATTTATGTTGCAGGTAGAGGGAACACCAAATGCAAAAGCCCTTTTCACACAATAATGTACATGGTTAATTATGGTTGCAAAATAATAATAACAGACAAGCAAAGAGCCAAATCATGAGCAAACTCTAATTCACAATTGCTACAAAGAGAATAAAATACTTAGGAATACAACTTACAAGGGATGTTAAGGACCTCTTCAAGTAGAACTACAAACCACTGCTCAAGAGAGTGAGAGAGGACACAAACAAATGGAAAAACATTCCATACTCATAGATAGGAAAAACCAATATTGTGAAAATGGCCATACTGCCCAAAGTACTTTATAGATTCAATGCTATTGCAAAGTACTTTATAGATTCAATACTATTCAAATGCTATTCCCACCAAGCTACCATTGACTTTCTTCACAGAATTAGAAAAAACTACTTTAAATTTCATATGAAATGTAAAAAGAGCCTGTATAGCCAAGACAATCCTTAGCAAAAACAACAAAGCTGGAGGCATCACACTACTGGACTTCAAACTATATTACAAGGCTACAGTAATGAAAACAGCATGGTACTGGTACCAAAACAGATATATAGACCAATGGAACAGAACAGAGACCTCAGAAATAATATCACACATCTACAACCATCAGATCTTTGACAAAACTGGCAAAAACAAGCAATGGGGAAAGGATCCCCTATTTAATAATGCTGTTGGGAAAACTGGCTAGCCATATGCAGAAAACAGAAACTGGATCCCTTCCTTACACCTTATACAAAAATGAACTCAAGATGAATTAAAGACTTAAATGTAAAACCTAAAACTATAAAAACCCTAGAAGAAAACCCGGGCAATACCATTCAGGATATAGGCAGGGACAAAGACTTCATGACTAAAACACCAAAAGCAATGGCAAAAAAAAAAAAAAGCCAAAATCGACAAATGGGATCTAATTAAACTAAAGAGCTTCTGCATAGCAAAAGAAACTATCATCAGAATGAACAGACCACCTACAGAATGGGAGAAAATTTTTGCAATCTACCCATCTGACAAAGGTCTAATATCCAGCATCTACAAGGAACTTAAAAAAATTTACAAGAAAAAAAACAAACAACCCCATCAAAAAGTGGGCAAAGGATATGAACAGACACTTCTCAAAAGAAGACATTTATATGGCCAACAAACATATGAAAAAATGCGCATCATCATTGGTCATTAGAGAAATGCAAATCAAAACCACAATGATATACCATCTCACACCAGTTAGAATGGCAATTATGAAAAAGTCCATCAAAAAGTGAGCAAAGGATATGAACAGACACTTCTCAAAAGAAGACATTTATGCAGCCAACAAACGTATGAAAAAAAGCTTACAGAGAAATGCAAATCAAAATCACAATGAGATACCATCTCACACCAGTTAGAATGGCAATTATTAAAAACTCGGGAAACAACAGATGCTGGTGAGGCTGTGGAGAAATAGGAATGCTTTTACATGTTGGTGGGAGTGTAAATTAGTTCAACCACTGTGGAAGACAGTGTGGTGATTCCTCAAGGAGCTAGAATTGGAAATGCCATTTGACCCAGCAATCCCATTACTGGGTATACACCCAAAGGATTATAAATCATTCTACTATAAAGACACATGTACATGTATGTTTATTGCAGCACTATTCGCAATAGCAAAGACCTGGAACCAACCCAAATGTCCATCAGTGATAGACTGGATAAAGAAAATGTGGCAAATATACACCCTGGAATACTATGCAGCCATAAAAAATGATGAGTTCATGTCCTTTGCAGGGACATGGATGAAGCTGGAAGCCATCATTCTCAGCAAACTAACACAAGAACAGAAGACCAAACACCACATGTTCTCACTCATAAGTGTGAGTTGAACAATGAGAACACATGGACACAGGGAGGGGAACATCACACACTGGGGCCTGTTGGTGGGGGGTGGAGGGCAAGGGGAGGGAGAGCATTAGGACAATTATCTAATGCATGCAGGGCTTAAAACCTAGATGATGGGTTGATAGGTGCAGCAAACCACCATGGCACATGTATACCTATGTAGCATATCTGCATGTTCTGCACATGTATTCCAGAACTTAAAGTAAAATAAAAAAATTTTTTTAAAAGATGTAACTGGCATTAATTTTAGAAATGCAAAAATGAAAGACCTGATAATGAAATCAGGAAGAAGAAGAGTTGAAGGAGAAGGTGGGTGTACTAATATCCTCATCTGATGAGGGCAATCACAAAGAAGTATCTATAGCGAATGGGACAAAAAAAGAAAGGTATTATAGTTACAACAGAGAAACTAAAAATAGAGATAAAACTAAATAAAGGATGGGCATGGTGGCTAACAGCTGTAATCCCAGAATTCTGGGAGGCTGAGGTGGGCAGATCACTTGAGGTTAGGAGTTTGAGATCAGCCTGGGCAACATGGTGAAACCCTGGCTCTACAAAAAATACAAAAATTAGCTGTACCTGCTGGCACACACCTGTAGTCTAAGGTACTTGGGAGGCTGAGGTGGGAGGATCACTTGAGCTTGGGAGGCGGAAGTTGCAATGAGCCACAATTATGCTACTATACTCCAACCTGGGTGATAGAGTGAGACCATGTCTCAAAACAACAACAACAAACTAAATGCTGAATGATAGAGACAGGAAAGGTGGAGGTAGGGTTGGGTGAGTGAGTATATAATGCTTCCTTTATGTGTTTGTGTGCGTGTTGTTAATATATGATGTCTAAAAAATGATTAACAAAAATTTTCAAGTGGAAGCAAATTACTTTTACCTGAAAAAATAGAGATACGTATCAAAGGAAAAGTGGAAAGAGAAGCGAGGCTTACATGGGAAAATTTGGGCCAAAGGACCATTTATTTTAACCATGCGCATGTTTTAATCTGATTTAAACACACACATCTGCTCACATATACACCCTTCAGAGGTTTTCCATCACTCTTAGGATAAAGGTCAGAATCCCAAATACAACCTCTATAAAAATTTAATTATACTAAATACTTGTGACACAAAAGTGTTTTTTTATCTCTCATGTTAAAAGCAGAACCTTTAATGTACACAAAAACCCTCAGTGCCCTTTTTTACTAAAGTAATATTTTATTGGAAACTATAGCTCTTCTCTCCATCAGTATATAAATTTTATTTCTCTATCCTCAGGAGATATTGTACTAAATTGTGAATAGTATCATGGAATTTCCCAAGTCTTTTGAGTAAAATTTTACATATGCTTTCTCCAGAAACATGACAGTTTTGATTTCTCAAAAAATCCTTGGGTAGATAGAATATAAAATTTTACATGCTATTATATGTGATCAATATCTGATTAGTTTTTATGTTATCACTTCAAAAGAAGGCAATACCTTATTAGGGTCTTCTGCAGGGTTTGATAATGCAAATATTCCAAAACTTCCAAAAATCTGAAATCTGAAACACTTTTGGTTCCAAGCATTCCATAAGAGGTATACTTAGCCTGCACTACTAAGCAATAAAAAGGAACAAACTACTGATACACTCAGTAACCTGCATGAATCTCCAGAAAATTATGCTGAGTGAAAATAGTCAATCCCCAAAGTTTATATACCATGTGATTCTACTCATAAAATATTTTTTCAAATGACATTATAGGAATGGAGAATAGATTAATGAGTTGTGAGGAGTTAAGAAACAGGTGGTGAGGGAAGGGAAATGGGTGTGGTATAAAAGAGCAACATGAGGGACCCTTGTGGTGATGGAAATGTTCTTTATCTTGGCTGTATCAATGTCACTAACTTGTTTGTTATATTGTACTATAATTTGACAGATACTACCATTGGGGGAAATTGGGTAAAGAGTACACCATATGTCTGTATTATTTTCTGCAACTGCATGTGAATATATAATTATTTCAAAATAAAAAGTTTAATTTGGAAAAAAAGCTGGTACGTATTATAAAAATATGAATTGTTCTCCATTGGTGGCAAGGAGGTGGGGTGATGGTAATTCAGGCCTTCAAGCAAAGGAGGAGAGATACATGGAGAGGGAGATGGCTTTATCAAGCTACTTTTATAACAAAGCTACTTTGTCCAGAGCCTTCCTCTGCTTTGGAAGAGCAAGAAAACTGAGAACTAGTCAAGCAAAGATACACAAATCTTTTTAAGGTCCCACTCATTAGGGTTTGACTCCAAAAGTTACCCAAGCTCCTCTCATTTCTGTGGATACCAAACCTGCCAGTATCCAACGACAACCTCAAAAGGAAGCCAGACAGGGTACAAAGGGCAGAGAGGATCTCTACACTAAACACATAGGTTGCAGAACCAAGAGTCAGAGATTATACTTTTAGACTTCAATGCCAGGATCATCTGTTATCTGACATGAAGGACATGAAGGGTAGAGAGAAGCAGCAATAAACACCCCAATTCTTACATAGCAGAACCTTGGGAGGCACTCTTCACTGAGAAGGAAAACACATATTGGCAGCAAGTGTGGGATTAGGGTCCAGGTGCTTTTACTTGAAAGGGTTTCAGACATCAGGAATATTTATCTTTTGTCTATTCTTACAACGTTATTCCTTAAGAACTTACCAGATTGATGACTCATCAGTTCTACTCATAGAGAAATAAAAATATATAAATACACTAATATTGTACACAAGTGTGTGCAGCAGCATTACTTATAGTAGCCAAAAAGTGGAAACAACCCAAATGTCCATCAGCTGATGAATGGATAAATAAAATATGGTATGTACATACAATGGAATATTATTTAGCAATAAAAAGAGATGATGTACTGATTCCTGTACAGTATGGATGAACCTTAAAATTATTATATTAAGTAAATCAAGCCGGTCACAAAAGGCCACATATTTTATGATCACATTTATCTGAAATGTCTAGAGCAGGCAAATCCACAGAGGCAGTAGATTAGTGGTTGCCTGCCTGGGACTGGGGGATTTGTGGAAAAAGTGAATACCAGTGTTTATAGGATTTCTTTTTGGAGTGATGAAAATGCTCTGAAATTAACTGTGACGATGGGTGCACAACCCCAAATTGTAAAAAATATTAAATTGTATATTTGAAATGAAAAAAAGTCCTTGGATTAAATAGAATATAAAATTTCATGTGTTATTATATGTGATGAATATCTGATTAGTTTTTAAGGTATTAAAAACTAAAAGAAAGCAATACCTTGAGGTCTTCTGTTAAGGTTTGCTAGTGAATGTAATAGCTCATCATAGGAAATTGGAAAATATTGCATAATAACTAATGGCAGTAAGAGTTCACAATATTGTCAGTTGTGGTTCTTATTCAATGAGGAAAGAACAAAGTCAGCCTCAACTAGAAAAAGAATAGCATTGCATATAAAAAGAGATAAAAGAGACTTAAATATGATAATCAGTAAGAAATTGTGTCTCACTATCAACTGAAGCAGACAGTTACTGGAAGAACAGGGAAAGGACTGCAATGCTCAATCCTAGAAACAAAGCAAAAATGGGAAGTTTTAGCAGGATAGATGCTAAGAAATAATATATTTTACATCCCATGCAAGAAAAACTGAAAGGTCTCATTAAGGAAATTTGTAGCCTGATTTTACTCTAGCTTATCCCCTGGTTTTCAGAGACCATTGCATTCTAAACTTATTTTTGCACTTATAAAAATTATTTTGATTTTTCCAGTAAAAGCTGGCTTATAAAAACTGTATTGCAAAATTCTGAGTTTACTGAACTATTGCCCACTATCACTGCATTTCCTATCCCCTTTAATGACTAGATATCCAGTTGCATGAATTATGCAATGTAATCCTTAGGCATTTTTGTTATCAGAATATCTTTTTATAAATGAATAAAGAAGGCCAGCACTCAGAACACATTGACTGTTGCTGTAGGTTTTAATGCTTAGTGCAGCTGCTATGTAATGGTGCACATGAATTAAACAAAAAATGAAGTCATGAGGGCAGAAGAACGGATGTTCAAAAATGAATTTGCAAGTTTAGTTCTAAATAGCAATCACAATTTTAGCTTGAGGCTTTTCTGGGGGATAGTGAATAATGATTAGGTGAGATTACAGGCCCCAAGCAAGGCCTGAGGACATTGGTGCTCCTAGCCAGTCATTTATCCTCAAAAAATTGTCCTTAGGTTATGGGGGCATTGTTTGAAATACCAGGAAGAATCAAACCTGTGTCTGTCACTTTATCCCAAGGGTCTTCTCAGGATTCCGAAGCTCCAGTGTTAAGATAAATGTTTACCTAAACAAAAGCCTTGGTAGGCTTTTACTGTTACCTTATGTTATTTTTACTGTTCTGGGTTTATATTTTTATTTACCTGCAGAAGGAATTACATGTGAAAATTGTAACCCCAAAATCACTACTGAAATTGTGTTCTACTATGTTAGGTGTGTATTCAATGGAAGTAATATAAGATTTAAGAGAACAAATTTTCTCTCTCATTTTTATTAGATTTTCATGGCAAATTTGTATTTCAGAGAATTGTGACTTATTGTATATTGCCAAAAATATTCTTTTAGCCAGATCTAAACATGCAAAATTATGAACTGGTTAGTGTGGCTATTTTGAAAGCTCTGAAGTCTTGAATTCATGGCTAATTATGTATTTTTATTTACCAGAACCTCAGTTTCCTGCTGTCATATTAATGCTGTTTTCTTCTCCGTCATTAACACGTTGTGACTTAAGTTGTGTGAATGACACCCACTTTTTAAAAACATATTTACATAATAAATAGTAAAGGGGGGAATTTAACAAACCAAAACATTTACTTATCTCACTCAATTTACAGAGTAATGATGATGATAATAATAAAAATATAAGTGCAGTAGTAACAATCTGATGATATGAAGGAGAATAGGCTTTAAATAGGGCTTACTGTATACCAACACTATTCTGACTCATATATTAATTCATAACTCCATCATTAGCCATTATCCCCATTTTACAAATGGGAAACTGAGTCAATAAGAGACTCAATGAGATTAAATAGCATTGGTAAATCTAGGATCAGAAAATTGGACTAAAATGTACCCCACTTACAGAAACCTAGAATTTAGCGTAGCGCTTTTTAACTACTGAGACCTTTTTTTTACCCTTTGAAATCTATTCTTCTATTTTCCTTGATAAAACATAAAATCTCATGATTTCTATTTCATTTTTAGAATAAATTAAATATAATAAAATAAATCAAAGCAAAAATATAGGGCTTGGATGTTTTTTAAGCTACCCTTCCTTCCTCCTGTTTCTAGTTGAGCCTGACTAGTTCGAAATGGTATTAGTTCTGTTAATTCAGCAAATAATTATTGAAGCCCTACTATTTGTCAAACATTATTCCAGGGGCTGTTATGTACATTGAAAGCAAACCAGTTCTGAACTGTGAGCAAGATAGGAAAACTGGACAACTTTCTGGTGACTTCTAAAGTCTCCCCAAAACGTAAAATCCAAGTTCGAATGCAAGAACAAAAAACCCACAACAGAGCCATGTGGATATTTCTCACAATGTTGGAATGTCTACACCAGCAACCCCTTCTGTTAACACAAATAAAAACAATTGAATCTACTTACACTGAAATTCTTATTAGGATTATTTCTCACTGTCATGTTAGCTATTACTTAGTATGTTTAGATTTGCAAGACTACTCTCAAAAAATTTCTTAATTATTCCAAGACACCAAGCCTATAATTTATGTAGCAGCAATTTATTCGGTGTGACTTCATTGAATGGCCACTGTGGAACAAAATTAGCCAGGGCATATAAACCTTTATTTGAAAATACTGAATATGAGAAGGCTTCAAAGGTGTATTCTAATTTAAAGTGAGTTGAAATGTATAGGAGGATCAGCCAAAGTCTGACTAGTTTGAGGAAGAGTTAACCAGGGATAGTTCTTGCAAGAGGGAGGAATTGTCCTTGCTGATTTGTACCCACTGTTTGGGCAATCTAGATTTTATCAAGAGGGAAGGAGAGGAACAGGTACGGGCTAAAGTTGTGTGCAAAAAGGTATGGGGAGGAACAACCACTGGATACAAGGGCATAAGAGAGTCACAGTGAAAGATGATCAGTCCTTCAGGGTCTAATATCACTGCATACAAGGCATTGTGCTTTGTGCTGGGGATATAGTGTTAAACAAGGTAGGCTCAGTTCCTGATTTCTTTAAACACAGCATTATACAATTACTTATTTTATTTCCATCGTACAAGGTGATGGGCTTGCATATTTCAGGGGATTTCACATAATCTGGAAGAATCAGACAAAGCTTCCCTGAAGAAGGGGCATTTTCATTGAAACCTGAGGGATGAGTAGGATTCTACTAGTAAAAGTGGCATTGGGGGGTAGGGTAGGCAAGAGCTGCATTATCATTTTTATGGGCCCTAGGTACTTCTGCCATCATGGGCCCCTTTCAGCATAAAAAATAAAACTAAAAATCATATTTTGCAACTTACATGGTAAAAAGATGAATATGTTAGTTAATACTGTATACTGAAATGTTTTCTTTTACCTAGAAGTCCTTTGTTTTCTTATTTTAAAATAAATTTAAACATTTTTGTGGACCCCTTAAAATTTTGTGAACCCTAGGCACTGCGCTTACTGTGCCTTTTGGATAAGTCGGCACTGGAGGTGGGGAAGTTTGGGGCAAGAACATTTTGGATAGAGAGAATAGCATATAGAGAAGTTTCTAGGGGCTTACTTGCTCAGGGAATTAAAAGGCTAGAGCAGGGAGTGTAGGAGAGGATGGCATAAGGGAGGCTGGTGAGGCATGCCATATTAAAATAATTAAATTCTTATAGAGGCCATTTTAAAATAGTAAATTAAATAACAATAATCTTAGCTAATGCTGATTTTCTTTTTTAAAGACAAGATCTCACTCTGTTGCCCAGACTGGAGTGCAATGGTGCAGTCATGGCTCACTATAGCCTCAAAACTCCTTGGCTCAAGCCATTCGCCCGCTTCAGCCTCTGAATAGCTAGAATTATAGGCACACATCACCATGCCCAGTTAATTTTTCTTTTCAGAGACAGGGTCTATGTTGCCCAGGCTTAATGCTGATGTTTGATATAACATAAGTATATTGTAGTGGAAGTCAGTGATTTCAGCCAAACTATGGCAGATGTAAAACATGGGTTAGGCAAAATTCCATCTAAAGTTAGTATATACACTGAAATAGTAACAGAGAAAATCATATAATGCCTGGGATTTGCTTCAGAATAATACAGGGGGTATAAATGAAACAAGATTGGCCATGAATTCTCAATTAATGAAGCCAGATTTGAGGTACATTGGGGTTCATTTTATTATCCTGTCAACTCCTCTGTTTCTGACTTTCTATAATAGTTTTTTTTTAAAATAAAGCCAAGGTACAAAGAAACATCAAAACCCAAAAGCCATGAAAAAGATGATAGATTTAAGCTCATAAAAATGATAGCATTATATAACAAAAATAAAGCACACAAAACATTAAAAATAAAAAAGAAGACATAATTGTGATATATATGATTTATAGATTTAATATTCTTAATATGATTATGATTCTTATCAGTCTACATAAAATTCAAAGACCCCTCCACAAGAAAAATTTGGCATGGCTCATGAATGGGACATTCATAAAAGAACTTAAAATTCAAATAAAAATATAAAAAGATACTCATGCTCAGTAGTAATCACACAAATGAAAATTAAAATGCCATATACTTTTATTGTATCAGGTTTTGTAAAAAATAAAGTTAATGTCAAATGTTGACAAAACTATAGAGAAAGTGACATTCTCATTCTTTCAAACACTGTTGGTAGAAATGTAAACTGGTATAATCTTTCAATTTATTTACTATTTGATCTACCGATTCCATTTTTAAGAATATATCATAATCTAGCATTTTCAAAGTGTGTAGTGGGATATTGACAGATGTTATTTGTGTTTGTGTAAGTCTAAACTTAATTTTAAATGTAAATTTATAAAATGTCATTTAAAAAATTTCCCTTTTAAAGTTTTTCCATTTCTTCTTCCTCTTCCTCTTCCTCTTCTTCTTCTTCTTCTTCTTTTCAAATAGAGTTTATTTTTCAGAGCAGTTTTAGTTTCATAGCAAAATGGAGTGGAAAGTACAGAGACTCCCATATACCCCTTGCTTCCTGTGATGGTTAATACTGAGTATCAACTTGACTGGATTGAAGGATACAAATTATTAATCCTGGGTGTGTCTGTGTGGGTGCTGCCAAAAGAGATTAACATTTGAGTCAGTGGGCTGGGGAAGGCACGTCCACCCTTAATCTGAATGGGCAAAATCTAATCAGCTTCCAGCAAATGTAAAGCAGGCAGATAAATGTGAAAAGGAGAGACAGGCCTAGCCTCCAGCCTACATCTTTCTCCTGTGCTGGATGCTTCCTGCCCTCGAACATTGGACTCCAAGTTCTTCAGTTTTGAGACTCATACTGGCTCTCCTTGCTCCTCAGCTTGCAGACAGCCTACTGTGGGACCTTGTGATCCTGTAAGTTAATGCTTAATAAACTTCCATATATATATAATATATATAATACATATATACACACACATACATTTATATATGTATATACATATGTATATGTATACGTGTATATACATATGTATGTGTATACGTGTATATACATATGTATGTGTATACGTGTATATACATATGTATGTGTATACGTGTATATACATATGTATGTGTATATGTGTATATACATATGTATGTGTATATACATATGTATATGTATGTGTATATACATATGTATATGTATGTGTATATACATATGTATATGTGTATGTGTATATACATATGTATATGTGTATATATGTATATGTATATGTGTATATATGTATATGTATATGTGTATATGTGTATATGTATATGTGTATATGTGTATATGTATATGTGTATATACATATATATATATATGTGTGTGTATATATACCCAAAACACTGCTAGGAATCATAGACAATAGAAACAAATATATATGCGCATGTGTATGTGTGGGTATATATATGTGTGTGTGTATATATACATATATACGTATATACACACACACACACATATATATATCCTATTAGTTCTGTCCCTCTAAAAGAACCCTCACTAATACAACTCCAAACTGCCTCCCCCATTATCAACATCTTGAAGACATACGTTATCTTAAGAATGCATTCCATGGTTAAATAAGTTTGATTTCTACAACCTTGGTATACGGTAATACTATACACTAGGACATATATCTCTAAGATGGTGAATAAGTCTTTCCTTAGGTTATATGTCATGGAACCCTTCCATCAGAGAAAATGTTTAGGTGCTAAAGTTCTATAACACTTACTTTTAGAGATTCTCTTAAAAAATCATCAGATATGAATACATATCACTTAAGTCATGTTTCCATATATTTAATAAAAGGAAGGTGGTTACATGATTCATGTTATAACCTTTAATTGGAATTTAAGGTGGATGATATTTACTGGCATAAAAATTGCTGCAATAGGATGATATGATTCTATACCTTGAAAACACTAAAGACTCCACCAAAAGGCTCCTGGAAGTGATAAATGACTTCAGCAAAGTTTCAGTATACAAAAAGCAGTAGCATTTCTGTACACCAATAATGTTCAAGCTGAAAGCCAAATGAAGAACATAATCCCATTTACAATAGTCACACACACATTCACAAACCTGGGAATACATCTAACTAAGGAGGTGAAAGATGTCTGTCTACAAGGAGAACTACAAAACACTGCTAGGAATCACAGACGACACAAACAAATGAAAAAACATTACATGCTCATGGATTGGAAGAATCGATATTTTTAAAAGGGCCATACTGCCCAAAGCAATCTACAGATTAAACGCTATTGCTATCAAACTACCAATGTCATTTTTCACAGAATTGGAAAAAAACTGTTCTAAAATTCATATGGAACCAAAAAAGAGCCTGAAGAGACAACGCAAATCCAAAGCAAAAAGAACAAATCTGAAAGCATTACATTACCCAACTTCAAACTATACTATAATGCTTCTGTAACTAAAAGAGCATGGTACTGGTATAAAAACAGATGCATAGATCAATGGAACAGAATAAAGAACCCAGAAATAAAGTCACACACCTACAGCCATCTAATCTTTGACAAAGTTGACAAAATTAAGCAATGGGGAAAGGACTCCCTATTCAATACATGGTGATGGAATAGCTTGGTAGCCACATGCAGTGCAGAAGAATGAAATTGGACCACTACCTTTCACTATATACAAAAATTAACTAAAAATGGATTAAAGATTTCAATGTAAGAACTCAAACTATAAGAATGGTAGAAGAAAACCCAGTAAACACCGTTCTGGACATGGGCCTTAGGAAAGAATTTATGACTAAGTTCTCAAAAGCAATTGCAACAAAAACAAAAATTGGCAATTGGGACCTAATTAAACTAAATAGCTTCTGCACAGCGAAAGAAATTATCAACAAAGTAAACAGACAATCCACAGAAATTATCAACAGAGTAAATAGACAATCCACAGAATGGGTGAAAATATTTGCAAACTATGCAACCAACAATTGTCTTATATCCAGAATCTATAAGGAACTTAAACAATTGAACAAGCAAAAAACCAACAGCCCCATTAAAAATTGGGCAAAAGACATGAACAGACACTTTTCAAAAGAAGATATACAAGAGGCCAACAAACATAAGAAAAAGTGCTTATTATCACTAATCATCAGAGAAATGCAAATCAAAACCATAATTAGATACCTTCTCATACCAGTCAGAATGGCTATTATTAAAAAGTCAAAAAACAACAGATGTTGGTGAGGCTGTGGAGAAAAGGGAACGCTTACATACTGTTGGCGGGAATGTAAATTAGTTCAGCCACTGTGGAAAGCAGTTTGGAGATTTCTTAAAGAACTTAAAACAGAATTACCATTCAACCCAGTAATCACATTACTTGGTACATATCCAAAAGCAAACAAATTGTTCTCCCAAAAAGACACATGCATTCACAATATTAAGCACTATTCTTCATAGTAAAGATTCCATAATCTACGTAGGTGCCCATCAGTGGTGGACTGGATAAAGAAAATGTGGTACATATACACCATGGAATATCATGCAGCCATAAAAAAGGAATGAACTCATGTTCTCTGCAGCAACATGATGTAGCTGGAGGCCATTATCCTAAGATAATTAACACAGGAACAGAAAACCAAATATCGCATGTTCTCACACATAAGTGGGAGCTAAACATCAGGTACTCATGGCCATAAAGATAGCAACAATAGACAACAGGGACTACTAGAGGGGAAAGGGTGGAAGGGGGAGCAAGAGTTGAAAAACTGACTGCTAGGCACTATGCTCAGTACCTGCATGAGGAGATCATTTATACCACAAACTTCAGCATCATGCAGTATACCCAGTTAACAAATCTGCACATGTACCCCCTGAATCTAAAATAAAAGTTGAGGAGAAAAAAATAAATTTTTTTTAAAAAGGCTGAAATAAACCACTAAGTAAAAGAAGCAGAGCAGGGAAACACCATTTAAGCCCTATGGTGTCTAGTCATAATTATTGTAACTATATAAATCCACATATTATACATAATACACATATATAAAAATAAATTCAGGAAGATATAACAAAATATGAAGAATAGTTACCTGAAGGTGGTAGGATAACTATATTTTTCTGTATTACATTCTTTTTTTTAAAAAATAGTAAACATGTATTCATTTTCCAATAGAAATAATTTTTAGAGGCAACGTGTTTAAGCATCCTAACTTTGGAGAAATACAGCATTTCAATCTATAGATGTCAGACACTTCCCATATTTAATAAAAACTAAGTCTGCAGACAAAAACTATAATTGTATGAAGAATCTATGAAGAGAAACCATGATGCCTACCTTCTGGAGAGAAGTGATGAAAACATAACAAGCGTTGTGTGTGACTCAGCAGTGTAATGGAGGCAGTTAATTTCCAGATGCTCTATGTCTTTACGAGTCCCTATAAGGGAGTACCTCTTCTCTCTGGAACAGAAATAACATGAGTCCGCACATTTATTTAAAGGCTTGTTTTCAAAATCATTAACAGTATTGTTGGCATTTTTTCACTTCCAAACATCAATAAGTCTTTGCCAAAGAACTAGAGAGAATCAAGGTATTAGTATCTTCATCCTTCAGAAATACTATGATTAACTACCAGAAATAATTAAAGCAAATGTTCTATACTTTATTTTCATATGTTTAATAATATAATCAGAAGAAACATATTTAATAAATTAAAAATTATTGATAAAAATAGTAGTATAATTTTGTATATCTACTATCTACCCAGACACAATGCTAGATCCTTTATATCTCATTTAATTCTCTCAACATCTTTTTATTTGATATTTATTCAACAATATTTATTGCTCTGTGCCAGGTACTGCGGGAAGCACTGGAGATATAATGGTGATCACTATAATGATACAAGACAGTCATTAACATTCCCACTTTAAAATGTGGTAATTGAGGCTTTGGGATTTAATATTAAATAGTCTAACTTCAAACCTACTCTTTCTATTATAGCCCAATTAAAAGAAGTTTGCCAGTCTTATCACCGTCACCACTAAAAACAAAAATAAACTCCAAACCTTTTAAGTTAAAATGGAAAATACCAAAAAATACCAAAAAATCCCCAACAACTCAACTAAATGTAGTATAAAATATATACAAAATATCTCTATATAGCCTTTATAATTGGCAATATCACCTAATTTAATCCTCACTTAATCTCATGATATAGGTGTTAGTATTACCATTTTGTAGATGAGAACACTGTCTTAGAAACATTCAGCTTAAATCTGGGTCGGCCTAATTCTAATGCTTAAAAATCTCAAAAAGAGAACAAGAAAAAAAAAAACTTACATTAAAATGGAGAAAGCAACAAAGAAGTAAGAAAAACAACTCATTTAAGCAGCCTGATGTATGCACACACATACAAAACACACACAGTATCACACACCTATATGGATTGTGGTACTGCCATTCAATAAACACCCATCATTATCTGGCAAAACAGTATTGGGGTGGGAGGAGGATGACAGGGGAAAGCAACTATCTAGGAGGAGAAGCTGAATGAAAATCATCCTCAAACACAGATTGTAGCTATACAGGCCACTTACTTTCAAGTGGGGTCTCACAGAAAAATAGCAGGAAATATTACCACTCACTTGCTTAGACCTTAGGAAAGTTACTTATCTTCTCTGGGCCACAGCTTCCTATCTGTAAATGACAACAATAACAGTATCTAACTAATAGAGGTGTTATAAGGATTAACATTCACAAAGCACTTAAAGTATCAGTTTCAATAATAAATGCTATGTGTGTGTGTGTGTGTGTGTGTGTGTGTGTGTGTGTGTATGTGTGGTTTAAAATAAATATCTGAGTGGGGTTAATTATATTAATAGAGCCCCTTCATGGAGCATATTACTCACAGTTATATTTTGTCTGTTAACATCTCAAATAATCCTCACTTCAATCCTATGAGGTATATATTATTGCCACCTGGCTTTTAGCTTCAAAAGGCAGAAACTTGATTTTATCAACTCCCTCAATCATTAGAAACTTATCAACTTAAAAGGGAAATTTTTTTGTTGTTCCAAAATGATAGCCAATGAATTGGATAAAACACTACATATCGATATCAAGTCTATCTTGAGTACCAAACCGCTAAGAAATTACTTCATTACTGTAAAATTAAAACATGGAGAATTAAAAACTCAAATTAGACCTCCCATCAAGCCATAGTAGTCTACTGTGTTAAAAATTTCCTTTTACATGATATCATACCTTGAGAAGGCATACCATCACCAATGTAATGTTTTTGCAAAGAATATTTAGCCTAAATTTAACAATAAAAAATTTCAGAAATATTCAAACTAAAGTGATATCTTGCAAACAACTGGCCCAGGGCAATCAAAAATGTCAATGAGATTAGAGTCCAAAGGCTAGAATTTGATGGGAATAGACAAGTAATTTGTTTACCTTCTGGCATGAAGGTATTGGGAAGCCTCATAGAGATTTGAAATTTCACTTGAGAACCCTGGCTTGTCCTAAGGACTAAAGTTTGTTAGTTTGTGAAGGATTTTAAAGAGTTTTTAGGCAGAATGGAAGGAGTTGCTGAGAATAAACAGCCAGGAAATAAAGGATTCTGAAGGGAGAGAGGGACCCAAATCAGTGTTGAGATGTTGGTGAGTAGAAGAACTGATACAGAGAAAAAAGGGAAGGAGAAAAAAATCTGAACCCTGGAAATTATACAGCCTCTGGGAATTACACAGCAGGTATAGTTATGCACAAGACAATCTGCTGATGTGGGGAGGAAATATCAGTACTTACCTGTTTTCTATAAAAATAAAAAAGCTTTAGTAATGTTTATATAGATTAACACTAGTACCTTTAAAATATATTTTTATTGAGGATAGACAATAAATTTATTTATTTATTTATTTTTTGTATAGAGTATGTGACCAAAATGGTGATCGTCATTTGTAGGAACGAAAGAAAGACTTTTAGGTGTTGGCAGGTACTAGGATATTTGTCCCTGCTCTTAGGGGTGAGGGAGAAAGTACAGTGCTTGGATGGCCTTCTGCTCAGGGGCCAGTGTTGACTGTGTGTTGTACTGTTGTTAATCTGGAGGCATGATGTGTTCTGAAGCTCATGTGAAAATGAGAGATGAGTTCATTGAGATTCATCAAACTCTGCTCCATTTTCTTGCTTATTTATACAGAAATAAATGATACTTTGAGAAGAAATGTGGAAAACATAGTCAGAGATGATGAAAATTCCTGGGTGAGAAACTTGAAGGACTTGAGGGCAAAGGGAGGCCACTCACTTTGGAGACTTGAGGGCCACTCACTTTGGCCCATGTGGGTGAAAGAAAGCTGGGAAAGGGGAAGAACAGCCTACCATATCCTTTTTGTGAAAAAAACAAGATTTTTTTAGATCATGTATTGAGATGGTAGTGAGGAATGTGTTTCATCCAGAGGAAGACATGGCAGAAAAGGGGATGGAAGCACCTCTGCCTTCAGAATGCTATGTATGTCCGGTGCCAAGAATGAGCTTGAGATTTTAACACAGTCATCACAGAGACCTGATAGGCACGAGGCATCTGTCCTCCTTCACACTGTGGTGTCTATATCCAACCTGTGATCTGTCTCCTGTCCCCATCATCCCCAACTTTAGCTTCTCTCCACGTTGTCACGAGTGCCTGCTCAAAAGTCCTCACTGGGTCCTGTCTACGGAATCCAGCCCATTGGCAAGGTTTGGTCAGCCCAAATTTGAATGTCTTTAGGCAGAACTCATACAATTCAGTTTGCCACAGGTCTATCATTTCACATCATATGTTTGTGTTTGTTTTCTGCCTGTCCCTTAAAGCTTTTGAATTCTCAAACACAGGATGAAGTCCAGATTCATTGGCCCAGCATACAAAGGCCTGTTCCTGTGTGTTTCTCCTGACTCATGTCTCATGGTAATATCCTCAGAGGTGACTCAGATCTCTAAACTGTGTGCTTTGCAAAAACATAAAAAGTAATACACATATTTTGCTCATATGATGATCTCTGCTTTCCCTTTTTTGTCTGCTTATCTTTCAAGTTAGCTGAAATGTCATTTCCCCACTGACATGTCTTTCCTGAATCTTTGAGAGAGGACAGGTATCTTCCTCTTTTGTGCTCCTTCTGCACTTTATACGGTCTTTATTGTAGTATTTATAACATTTTACTGATTATTATGTACAAATACCTAGAACCTGACACCATGCCTGCCATTTCATAGGTGGCCAATAAATGTTTTTGAATGAGTTAAAAAATGTCAACAACATGACAGACACATAAGGCTGGGAATTTTTTTTTTTAGATTAAAGGAGATTAAGCAAATATAACCACTAAATACAATGTATGAACCTTGACTGGACCTCAGATCAGGAGGAAAAAGATAGCTATAATTAATGGACAACTGGGAAATTTTAAATATTGATTTAAAGAATCTCTATCAAAAACACATTTAAAACTATCTCAGGTAATTTATTCCTTTAGAAAAATTATTCACTCATACATTTATAATAATATTAAATATCTATTCAGTGTAATAACCCTGCAGGTAAAAATTCTTGTAAGTAACAGAACCTGAAAAATTCTTGTAAGTAAAATGTAGACTTGGCTTGGCCAAGAGGGTCAGGTGAAGGGTAGTGAGGACCCCTCTATCTCAGTCTGGCAAGTTAGCAAAATAACTAAACTATCATCTGCTACATTTCAGGACTCAGACCATCTGCCTACTGAAGTATTTCCCTTCTAATTGAAGGGAAAAATTCAGACTGTTGGAGCAGGTTGGCTGCTTTATGCAGCCTTCAGTAAAGTCCTACAAGAAAGAGTGGAAGGTCAGGAAGCAGTGAAGGAAAAAAAGATACCTTTGCCAATAAAGCTACTTTTTATCTGTGTCTGAGAATAGGAGATCTGGACATTAGCAAGAGTGAAGAAGCCAAATTACAAATGCTTTATAATTATCTGGTATCTATTTTTTTTAATAGGTTATTCACATGACATAGAATTTTAAAGATATAAAAAGGGAGTAAAAAATCTCTCTCAGTCTTGTCCCTCAGCCATCTGTCTCTTCATTCCCCAGAGGCAACCCCCATTACCACTTTCATACATCCTTCCAGAGATGTTCAATGCATTGCCATGCTACACATAAATTTCCACAAATGAAGCAGGTTATGCATACTGTTCTATACCTTGCTTTCTTCGTGTAAGATGTTTTGTCAACTGATCATATCAGGACATATAAAGCTGCCTTATTATTTTAAGAGCATCATTGTATAAAGCTTACATGATAAAAACCATAAAGTAGACAAGAATGCAAGAGGATATAACCATTTTCTTTTATATAAAGAATATGGCCATATTCTTTATGTAAAAACATACCACTAAAAACCTAGAGTACCACTAAAAACATAGAGTACACAAGAATGCAAGAGAATATAATAGATGTTTTCTCATGCAAATAAATAAGGTACGGGCTACTAGGCAGGAAAGAGTTTGGAGGGGCTGTGATTAAGGTAACTGAGCACTGGGTACCAAAGACAAAGGCTAAGAAAGGTAGTTGGGAAGATTTGTCTGAAGACATTTTTGAATCCTAAACATTCCATTGTATTGTGGCAGAGCATGTGAAAAGTTATTGAAGCTTCCATCATGCGAGGGGTGCAAAAGTGGCTAAGACTAAGCTGGAAGACATAAAGGAGACTGGGGTTTGAAGGGTAAGGAATACATGGTTCTCACAATTGGAAATTACAGCAAGGACCATGGCAGTGGATCCAGTATATGAAGTCCAGAGGCCAAGCAAGCGGAACTGACATAAGTAGATGCTGGCACATGGTACCAAAAGGCCAAGGGCCAAGCAGTTACTCAACAGAGGCCAGCAAGAACAGAAAAGAATATGCAAACCCATAAGTGTTGACGATGCCTCAGGATATGTCAGTCTCCCTCAGGAACTTGAGGAAGAGTGAAAGGGAAGAAGAGGCCAGGTATGGTGGCTCATGTCTGTAATCCCAGCACTTTGGAAGGCTGAGGTGGGAGAACTGCTTGAGTCCAGGAGTTCCACACAAGCCTAGGTGACATGGCAAAACCCCATCTCTACCAAAAATACAAAAATTTGCCGCGTGTGGTGGTGCATGCTGGTAGTCCCAGCTACAAGGGAGGCTGACATGGAAGGATGGTTTGAGCCCAGGAGGTGGAGGTTGCAGCGAGCCAGAATTGAGCCTTTGTACTCCTGTGTGGGCAACAGAGCCATATCCTGTCTCAAAAGAAAAGAAAGAAAAGAAGAGTAGAAGGGATACAAATAGGAGATAGGGGTAGAATCTTAGTTTAAAACTGAAATTAATTTTAATTCAGAAATGACCAAGTAACTTCAAATTTATCTGTGGAAATGTTATTGGTGGGGGTACCAGGAAAAGACACTGAGATCAATCAATTTTTTGATATAGGCAAACAATGTTTTACAGATTTAAGATCAATAACTACAAAACTTAAACTTACATAGCCAGCTCTTAGGGGTGTTAGAAGGATTCAATGACATAGGTGTGAGAAAATAGAATGGTGGATTTTCTGATTGCAATTTCTGATAGTGACCTTTCTTTGACTTTTCTCCAAGTTTTGGGACCTTTATTGCAGTCCCATATGTGGAAACCACACATGCCATCTTATCTTACACAGACTCAGTTCCAAAGAGCATTAACTTTGAAATAAATGAATCTTGAATTTGAATTCGACTTTTGTCATGCACTAGCTGTATGAATTTGGGGAAATAACTTATTTGAATCTTTGAGTCTTCATCCATAAAATATAGAAGTCAAAAATCATTTCATACATGTATTATGTAAGACAATAAAATATACAAAGCAAATTGTCTGGCTCATGGTGGGTGGACCTATCTTCTTTCTCTAAAGTTTATTTATTTATTATTATTTTATTATTATTATTATTCTTTAAGACAGGGTCTCACTCTGTCACCTAGCCTGGAGAGCAGTGGTGCGATCATGGCTCACTGCAACTTTGACCTCTGGGCTCAAGTGATCCTCCCACTTCAGGCTCCTGAGTAGCCATGACCACAGGTGAGAGCCACCACACTCAGCTAATTGTGTTTATTTTTGGTAGAGAAGAGGGCTCGCTATGTTGCCCAAGCTGGTCTCATACTCCTGGGTTCAAGCCATCCTCCTGCCTCCGCCTCCTAAAGTGCTAGGATTACAGGTGTGAGCCCCATGCTCAGCCTTTCCTTAAAGTTTAAACTATGTTGCCTAGCTTTTAAAATTAATTAATTAATGTTCTGAGACAGGGTCTTGCTCTGTTGCCTAGGCTGGAGTGTGGCGGTGGGATCTCGGCTCACTGCAATCTCTGCCTCCCAGGCTCAAGCCACCCTCTCACCTAAGCCTCCTGAGTAGCTGGGACTACAGGCATGTGCCACCACACCTGGATAATTTTTGTAGAGATGGGGGTCTCACTTTGTTGCCCAGGCTTGTCTTGAACTCCTGAGCTCAAGTGATCTGCCTGCCTTGGCCTATCAAAGTGCTAGGATTACAGGCATGAGCTACTGCACCCGGTCAGTTGCCTAGCTTTTGACTTGGAATATTTGATCATCTTATCATATGTCCTAACTAAAAGAGATTAAGCTCTACATATATTAAATAATATATGACTACTAGTTATTGTTCCTGGGTTTACTGAGTAATAAACACCCTTACATGCAGTGAAGCAAGCATTTAAATATATAAGCATTTAAATATAAAATATAGGATACATAAACAGAAATCTCCTCAAGTCTTACCCTGAGACTGAGTACAAGGGTTGGATATACAATTTCCCACTTTCTCCACATAGATATTGGCATTTCAAAAGATATTTGCCTCAAATCCAACAAATGTTAAAAAGAAGAAACTTCACAACAGATAAGAAAAATCAACAGTATCTATTATTCATAAAGATGGTAGATTGAACATATGCACTTAACTCTATCCCTTTCCAAAACCAAACTAAAATATAATTTTATCTTAAGTATTTTATTAAAAAGCAAAAACAAGGCTGGGCACAATGGTAATGTCTGTAATCCTAGTGCTTTGGCAAATCAAGGCAAGGGGATCACTTGAGACCAGGAGCTTGAGGTCAGCCTGGGCAACATAGCAAGACCTTGCCTCTATAAAATATTAAAAAAAGGAGTCAGGCTTAGTGGCGCACACATGTAGTCTCAACTGCTTGGGGGACTAAGGCAGGAGGATCACTTGAGCCCAAGAGTTCCAGGTTGTAATGAGCTATGTTAGCACCACTGCACTACAGCCCAGTGACAGAATGAGACCTTGTCTCTTAAAAAAAAAACAAAACAAATAAGAAAAAGGAGAATGAGAGATGAGTGACAGTAACCACAGTTTGGAAGCTAGAAAGCAGGACTATTGCTAACTGACTTAGCAGACCCAAGCAAGCTGGTTTCTAAACCAGCAGTTGGTAATGATAAGCTAGGCAGCAATTTTGTACTACAATTTCCAAAAGACTTAGGAATTGGTGACAGCCAGTGCTTACGGAAGTGAGATAAAGATGAGACTATGAACAAACTTGGTTAGAAATTTATTTAAGAATTAGATACTTTCTTTAGAGGAATAAAAGAATAGGTGGCAAAAGTAAATAAATAAATAAACAAAAAAAAGAAGAAACTAAAAAGAATTATATACTTTCTAATTAACTGCCACCATTCACAACTGGCCAAGTACTTTTCCCTCTCTCATTCTAGCAGAAGACTAAAAGTTCATTCTTTGGTGTGAATAAAATAGGAGGTTCTTGAACTGGGGAATTTTTTTGTTTTTGAGATGGGGTCTTGCTCTGTTGTCCAGGCTGGAGTGCAGTGGTGTGATCTCAGCTCACTGCAACCTCCACCTCCTGGGCTCAAGTGATCCTCCCACCTCAGCCTCCCAAGTAGCTGGGACCAAAGACACATGCCACCTTACCTGGCTAATTTTTGTATTTATTTATTTTTTTTTTTTCAGCAGAGACAGGGTTTCACCATGTTGGCTGGGCTGATCTTGAACTCTTGACCTCAAGTGATCCACCTGCCTCGGCCTCCCAAAGTGCTGGGATTATAGGTGTGAGCCACCGTGCCCAGCCTTGAACTGGGGAATTTTGAAGGGTACTCTACTGAAAAGAGGAAAACTGAATGAAATTTTATTTGCTGAATATTGAGACTCTAAGTCCTCTTTTACTTGGTTCACACAATGCTAGCAGCCCATCTTATAGTCTCTAGGTAGGAAAGTGGAAGAAGATTCTTCTTTGGTGAATCTAACAGGCCCAAAAGAAAGATATTCAATAAAACAATATTAGGTTCCTGGATAAAACAGCAGTCAGATCTAGGAAATTCATAGTCATTAAGCCCCAATTACATGTTATCGAGGTATCCACATTTTTACTTCCTTAACTATAAGGTGACAGCCAAGGACCACTAGACTTCTGAGGAAAGCCCTTAACAGGAAAGATGGAGGGTAAAACAAACAGAAAATAAGACTCTTTAGGGACATAAAATTTGAAAAAATGTTTCTAACATATAAGAGAAGAACTACATCCATGAAAGAAGAACAGATGGTCTAAACAAAAACAAAAGAATATTCAGGGAACAAGAAAGTACTGCTGAGAGACAAAATAATGATAGAAATGAAGAACTCAATAGAAAGGTCAGATCTCCCTGCAAGTAAAGACACTAAGAAAAAACAAACATAGGAGACAAAGGACATGAATATTAGAAAATTAGTCTGGGAGGTTCAACATCCAAATAACAGAAGGAGAGAACCAAGAAAATAAAAAGAAAAAAAATTCAAAAAATCATTTATAAAATTTTCCTGCACTAAAGAAGATGAATTTTCAGATTAAAAGGGCTCACTGAGTACCTGGCTGAATGAATGAAAATAGGCCTCCAAAAGGGCATATCCTAATAAAATTTCAGATCTCTGATAGAAATAGAAAATCTTAATAGCTTCTAGAAACGAAAAATAGATAAAACAGAAATCAGACTATCTTTCAACTTTTCAACACTGGAGGCTAAAAGACAATGGAGGGAAGACATAAAAATTCAGAAAGAAAATGAATTACAAACCAGAATCCTATACTCAGCCACAATATCAATCAAATGTCAGTAAACAATAAAGACATCTTCAGACAGGCAAGACCAACTCAAGAAGGAAAAGACATGAAAACTGGGAGATCCAACTCAAAACAGGGGCAGAAAGAAGCCTCAAGTTGATAGTGAAAAGGGATCTGTACTATGTGGGACACAGTTTTCAGCCAAATCAGAAATAAGTACATAGAGAACCAAGCAAATGACAAGACAGTTATTAATTTTAGGAAAAGCAGAGTTAGATACAGGATATGGTTCAGCTATGAACTGAGTTTGTATCATTATAATAACATGCACAATTGAATATTAAACTTAACAAAATCATTATATAACTATATAGAAATGATGGTGTGCTTGTGGCAGTAGGGTAGGAGATAATAAAGAGATCTAAGTCTATAGCTTGCATAGTAAGGATTTAGTAGATTACCTGTGAAATTGAAAAAAAATCAAGAAGTAGAAATATAATCATGTGATTTAGAGATATTCTGTTTTATAATTACCAAAAGACACAGTTAAAAAAGAATTTGCAAATTTCTTCTTTCTTATTTTGGTACTTGGAATATAGTGTGAGATTTTTTATTTCTAGATTTTGTTTTATCTTCTGTTACATAAACTCATTGTTTGATAATTATAAAATGCAAGTGTTTTTTGAGTGATTTTAAGAATTTGGCTTAAAAATTGATTGCTACCATGTATTATTTTTACTAAGAAGTAACTTGACCCAAAACACCCTGTATGTTTGCTTAGGGTATTTTTTTTCAATGTCTGAAAGTCAAAGGCATTCCTGTCACAACTGTAAACAAACTTATCCTAACTGTGTTAAAACATATTATTGGGTACTCTATTTGTATATCTTTCATGCCTTGAAAATCTGAAGGTTAATCCAAACTCACATGTTTTAGCATATTTAAGAAAAAAAACTACTTTTAATATCAGCCTTTTAAATTTCATGAAGATTTTGGTGAGGAATAATAGTATACACTTTAAGTATTGACAAAACTTTGAAAGTTCCTTTCTATAAAATGGGAAATACTCAATATCTAAATACACATCAGGCATGAGAAATCAGCATTTAACACTGGATGTTTTGTGTTTTGTATTTATAATGTTCAAAATGCAAGCATAATATTTAATCTTTGTCCACATGGCTTTACAAAAGTAAATCTTAAATTACCAAAAAAAAAAAAATGGAAAATGATTGCATCTGGGGATTGGAAACTGATGGTAGGAAGCTTAGAGCAGGGGACTGCTGTTGTAAGTCTTGAACGACTACTTAATTTTTTAAATAATTTGATGTGTAACTTTGATAAATTTAAAAAAGCATAAAATTAACTTTAATAATCTGTGGAAACTAAGTAGGCATTTATAAATTCTTAAGTGTGCTGCATATGAATTGCTGTCTCATACAACTTTATAGGAGAAATTTCTAGAAAACAGGTATTGTACCAGACAAGTATCTGCCATGGAAGCTAGCATATAGCAGATATGTAAACATCACTACTTTATTTGGTAACCATGACAAAAACAGACACTGTTGTGGGTAGGAGCATAGGTTCTAGATTAGATTCAAATCCTGGCTCTATTTCTTTCTAGTTATATAATCTTGGATAAGATATTAAACCTCTTTTTGCTTAAGCTCCCTTATCTGTAAAATCTTCATTTCATAGGAATGTGGTGATTTTTAAATGATACATGAACAGTAATTACCAAAATGCCTGAGACATAGTAAGTAGCTAATACTTGTTAGCTATTTTGATTTAGTATTCCAAAATTCCTAACTTTGGATCATAAGGATCATGTCCACTGCACCTCTTCCTACTCCTCCACACTGATCTTGGGACATTTTATTTCACACAAATGTCTTGTTCAACTACCCCACACAGATCAAACTCACTTATCACCGTAAAGACAATCATGCCTGATTAACTACAAAACATAGACTAGAAATAGATGTCATACCTGAAACCACGTCTCTTTTCTTTTCCATCCTTTTTCCTTTAAGAAATCTATAGCAGGATTTGTAATGAGAAGACTTACATTTGAGTAGGTCATATAGCCTGAGTATCCATTTTCTCATCTGTAAAATGGAGATGATTGCATCTGCTGGAGTGGATGTTTGTTGTTTGACTTCTCACCATTCTTTCCTGCTACTTCTGGTAGCTGTATATGGATTTTCCTTTGGAAATCTTACCCCACCTCTAGAGATGTGTCTAGCTGCCAAAGTCAATCAGCATATCCTTCTCTCTCTCTGTCTACAGTGATGGGTCCAGAGATTGGCATTTAGCCAAATCAGGGCCAATGATGCTCAAAACTGTCAGGGCTACCAAGACTGGAGTTAAAAATGCCGCTAATCCAGAGAGAGAGAAGCTGGGAGTCTCATATCAACCTATCTGAACATTTCATCCTATGACCCACCATACCCTTTTTTGGCCTAAGGTAGAGTGTGTGTGTGTGTGTGTGTGTGTGTGTGTATGGCAGGAGGGCTTTAGGCAGTGTGTGTGTGTGTGTGGGGGGGGCGGGGGGGGGTTCTTACCTACAACCAAGGAAGTCTTAACTCTTGCCTACCTTATCGGTATTATCTTCAATGTTTCTGGGATGAACTGATATGATAGATATAAAAATATTTGGTAAACTCAAAGCAGCATGCAAATGGTAACTGTTATTACTAACATAATTTTTTATAAAACAAGCCTAATGTCTACACAAAGCAAGTTATGCCTTGTAACAGTTACAAATAATTTTTATAAAAACCAAAGTACCCTGTTAAAAGTCTTGACACATTGGATATTATTTGTGAATACATATTTTGTATAAAATATAAGAATGTGCAATTGTTGCTCAAATCATTCCAGGTTATGCCTCTGACAGTAGCTCATTTGCCTTTCTTATACATCAAACATAAAAGGTTAAGCTAGTATCCCTCAAATCTCTATTTTTGCCCTGTGATATTTATGCTCCATAAACCTATTTGAACCCTTATGAAAATATGTATTCTCTACTAATTACTTATAAGTGAATTTTACTGGGCTTAATTAGTACAGTCTGGAGAAGTACAATTGTTTTATTATTTATAAATAAAACATTAAGGGGAAATTGAAAAAAGGTACCTACTCCATATTTTTAAAAAGATGATTTCATAAACTTATAAAATACTTTGAAGTCAGAATAAAAATTGAAAGTAAATGGATATTCCAAATAAGCTCACAGCCTTTAAAAAAGCATTTGTTTTCTTAAAATTATCTATCTATTTATGTCTATAGGATTAATTTGACTGGCACTTCTTTTCTTTCTGGCTAAAGGAGAAGTAAACTTCAGCTCAACTACTGTTTCATTTCTCAGAAACTGAGTAAGTGCAGTTGAAATAAATGTTGTTTTACAGTATTTGCTCCATCTGATATATCCTTGGTTTTATCTCCAGGTTAGGATCCTTTAGGTAAAGGGTCAGATAATCAGCTAATGAGGCTGATTTTTGTCTCACCCTCTATTATCATTACCTAATGACAGTGAATGTAATAATGCAAAAATGATCATGAGCATGTATGTATACATTTTCTCAATTAAAAATATTCAATTAAGAATTTTAAAATTGAGCTATAATGACTTTTTCAAAAGACAGAAAACAATGAAATAAGAATGATATTCTTGAATTAAAGATAACTTTAATTAAAGATGCCCTGTTGTTTCTGATCTAAAAAGATATATATGGATGGCCGAATAGGAACAGCTCCGGTCTACAGCTCCCAGAGTGAGCAACGCAGAAGACGGGTGATTTCTGCATTTCCATCTGAGGTACTGGGTTCATCTCACTAGGGAGTGCCAGACAGTGGGCGCAGGTCAGTGGGTGCACGCACCATGTGCGAGCCAAAGCAGGGTGAGGCATTGCCTCACTCGGGAAGCGCAAGGGGTCAGGGAGTTCCCTTTCCTAGTCAAAGAAAGTGGTGACAGAGGGCACCTGGAAAATTGGGTCACTCCCACCCGAATACTGCGCTTTTCCGATGGGCTTAAAAAGCGGTGCACCAGGAGATTATATCCTGCACCTGGGTCGGAGGGTCCTACGCCCACAGAGTCTGGCTGATTGCTAGCACAGCAGTCTGAGATCAAACTGCAAGGCAGCAGCGAGGCTAGGGGAGGGGCGCCCACCATTGCCCAGGCTTGCTTAGGTAAACAAAGCAGCTGGGAAGCTCCAACTGGGTGGAGCCCACCACAGCTCAAGGAGGCCTGCCTGCCTCTGTAGGCTCCACCTCTGGGGGCACGGCACAGACAAACAAAAAGACAGCAGTAACCTCTGCAGACTTAAATGTCCCTGTCTGACAGCTTTGAAGAGAGCAGTGGTCCTCCCAGTACGCAGCTGGAGATCTGAGAATGGGCAGACTGCCTCCTCAAGTGGGTCCCTGACCCCTGACCCCCGAGCAGCCTAACTAGGAGGCACCCCCCAGCAGGGGCAGACTGACACCTCACACGGCCGGGTACTCCAACAGACCTGCAGCTGAGGGTCCTGTCTGTTAGAAGGGAAACTAACAAACAGAAAGGACATCCACACCAAAAACCCATCTGTACATCACCATCATCAAAGAGCAAAAGTAGATAAAACCACAAAGATGGGGAAAAAACAGAGCAGAAAAACTGGAAACTCTAAAAAGCAGAGCGCCTCTCCTCCTCCAAAGGAACGCAGTTCCTCACCAGCAACAGAACAAAGCTGGACGGAGATGACTTTGACGAGCTGAGAGAAGAAGGCTTCAGACGATCAAATTACTCCGAGCTATGGAAGGACATTCAAACCAAAGGCAAAGGAGTTGAAAACTTTGAAAAAAATTTAAAAGAATGTATAACTAGAATAACCAATACGGAGAAGTGCTTAAAGGAGCTGATGGAGCTGAAAACCAAGGCTCGATAACTATGTGAAGAATGCAGAAGCCTCAGGAGCCAATGCGATCAACTGGAAGAAAGGGTATCAGCGATGGAAGATGAAATGAATGAAATGAAGCGAGAAGGGAAGTTTAGAGAAAAAAGAATAAAAAGAAACGAGCAAAGCCTCCAAGAAATATGGGACTATGTGAAAAGACCAAATCTACGTCTGACTGGTGTACCTGAAAGTGATGGGGAGAATGGAACCCCCCCTCTGCAGGAAACACTCTAAAGGATATTATCCAGGAGAACTTCCCCAATCTAGCAAGGCAGGCCAACATTCAGATTCAGGAAATACAGAGAACGCCACAAAGATACTCCTCGAGAAGAGCAACTCCAAGACACATAATTGTCAGATTCATCAAAGTTGAAATGAAGGAAAAAATGTTAAGGGCAGCAAGAGAGAAAGGTCAGGCTACCCTCAAAGGGAAGCCCATAAGACTAACAGCAGATCTCTCGGCAGAAACTCTACAAGCCAGAAGAGAGTTCAGGCCAATATTCAACATTCTTAAAGAAAAGAATTTTCAACCCAGAATTTCATATCCAGCCAAACTAAGCTTCATAAGTGATGGAGAAATAAAATACTTTACAGACAAGCAAATGCTGAGAGATTTTGTCACCACCAGGCCTTCCCTAAAAGAGCTCCTGAAGGAAGCACTAAACATGGAAAGGAACAACCGGTACCAGCCGCTGCAAAATCATGCCAAAATGTAAAGACCATCGAGACTGGGAAGAAACTGCATCAACTAACGAGCAAAATCACCAGCTAACATCATAATGACAGGATCAAATTCACACATAACAATATTAACTTTAAATGTAAATGGACTAAATGCTCCAATTAAAAGACACAGACTGGCAAATTGGATAAAGAGTCAAGACCCATCAGTGTGCTGTATTCAGGAAACCCATCTCACAGGCAGAGACACACATAGGCTCAAAATAAAAGGATGGAGGAAGATCTACCAAGCAAATGGAAAACAAAAAAAGGCAGGGGTTGCAATCCTAGTCTCTGATAAAACAGACTTTAAACCAACAAAGATCAAAAGAGACAAAGAAGGCCATTACTCAATGGTAAAGGGATCAATTCACCAAGAAAAGCTAACTATCCTAAATATATGTGCACCCAATACAGGAGCACCCAGATTCATAAAGCAAGTCCTGAGTGACCTACAAAGAGACTTAGACTCCCACACATTAATAATGGGAGATTTTAACACCCCACTGTCAACATTAGACAGATCAACGAGACAGAAAGTCAACAAGGATACCCAGGAATTGAACACAGCTCTGCACCAAGCGGACCTAATAGACATCTACGGAACTCTCCACCCCAAATCAACAGAATATACATTTTTTTCAGCACCACACCACACCTATTCCAAAATTTACCACATACTTGGAAGTAAAGCTCTCCTCAGCAAATGTAAAAGAACAGAAATTATAACAAACTATATCTCAGACCGTAGTGCAATCAAACTAGAACTCAGGATTAAGAATCTCACTCAAAACCACTCACCTACAAGGAAACTGAACAACCTGCTCCTGAATGACTACTGGGTACATAACGAAATGAAGGCAGAAATAAAGATGTTCTTTGAAACCAATGAGAACAAAGACACAACATACCAGAATCTCTGGGACACATTCAAAGCAGTATGTAGAGGGAAATTTATAGCACTAAATGCCCACAAGAGAAAGCAGGAAAGATCCAAAATTGACACCCTAACATCACAATTAAAAGAACTAGAAAAGCAAGAGCAAACACATTCAAAAGCTAGCTGAAGGCAAGAAGTAACTAAGATCAGAGCAGAACTGAAGGAAATAGGGACACAAAAAACCGTTCAAAAAATTAACGAATCCAGGAGCTGGTTTTTTTAAAGGATCAACAAAATTGATAGACCACTAGCAAGACTAATAAAGAAAAAAAGAGAGAAGAATCAAGTAGACGCAATAAAAAATGATAAAGGGGATATCACCACCGATCCCACAGAAATACAAACTACTATCAGAGAATACTACAAACACCTCTACGCAAATATACTAGAAAATCTAGAAGAAATGGATAAATTCCTCGACACATACACTCTCCCAAGACTAAACCAGGAAGAAGTTGAATCTCTGAATAGACCAATAACAGGAGCTGATATTGTGGCAATAATCAATAGCTTACCAACGAAAAAGAGTCCAGGACCAGACGGATTCACAGCCGAATTCTACCAGAGGTATAAGGAGGAACTTGTACCATTCCTTCTGAAACTATTCCAATCAATAGAAAAAGAGGGAATCCTCCCTAACTCATTTTATGAGGCCAGCATCATCCTGATACCAAAGCCTGGCAGAGACACAACCAAAAAAGAGAATTTTAGACCAATATCTTTGATGAACATTGATGCAAAAATCCTCAATAAAATACTGGCAAACCGAATCCAACAGCACATCAAAAAGCTTATCCACCATGATCAGGTGGGCTTCATCCCTGGGATGCAAGGCTGGTTCAATATATGCAAATCAATAAATATAATCCAGCATATAAACAGAACCAAAGACAAAAACCACATGATTATCTCAATAGATGCAGAAAAGGCCTGTGACAAAATTCAACAACCCTTCATGCTAAAAACTCTCAACAAATTAGATATTGATGGGATGTATTTCAAAATAAAAAGAGCTATCTATGACAAACCCACAGCCAATATCATACTGAATGGGCAAAAACTGGAAGCATTCCCTTTGAAAACAGGCACAAGACAGGGATTCCCTCTCTCACCACTCCTATTCAACATAGTGTTGGAAGTTCTGGCCAGGGCAATTAGGCAGGAGAAGGAAATAAAGGGTATTCAATTAGGAAAAGAGGAAGTCAAATTGTCCCTGTTTGCAGATGACATGATTGTATATCTAGACAACCCCCTTGTCTCAGCCCAAAATCTCCTTAAGCTGATAAGCAACTTCAGCAAAGTCTCAGGATACAAAATCAATGTACAAAAATCACAAGCATTCTTATACACCAACAACAGACAAACAGAGAGCCAAATCATGAGTGAACTCCCATTCACAATTGCTTCAAAGAGAATAAAATACCTAGGAATCCAACTTACAAGGGATGTGAAGGACCTCTTCAAGAACTACAAAGCACTGCTCAAGGAAATAAAAGAGGATACAAACAAATGGAAGAACATTCCATGCTCATGGGTAGGAAGAATAAATATTGTGAAAATGGCCATACTGCCCAAGGTAATTTAGAGATTCAATGCCATCCCCATCAAGCTACCAATGCCTTTCTTCACAGAATTGGAAAAAACTACTTTAAAGTTCATATGGAACCACAAAAGAGCCGGCAAGTCAATCCTGAGCCAAAAGAACAAAGCTAGAGGCATCACACTACCTGACTTCAAACTATACTACAAGGCTACAGTAACCAAAACAGCATGGTACTGGTACCAAAACAGAGATATAGATCAATGGAACAGAACAGAGCCCTCAGAAATAACGCCACATATCTACAACTACCTGATCTTTGACAAACCTGAGAAAAAAAAGCAAAGGGTAAAGGATTCCCTATTTAATAAATGGTGCTGGGAAAACTGGCTAGCCATATGTAAAAAGCTGTAACTGGATCCCTTCCTTACACCTTATACAAAAATCAATTCAAGATGGATTAAAGACTTAAACGTTAGACCTAAAACCATAAAAACCCTAAAAGAAAACCTAGGCATTACCATTCAAGACATAGGCATGGGCAAGGACTTCCTGTCTAAAACACCAAAAGCAATGGCAACAAAAGCCAAAATTGACAAATGGGATCTAATTAAACTAAAGAGCTTCTGCACAGCAAAATAAACTACCATCAGAGTGAACAGGCAACCTACAAAATGGGAGAAAATTTTTGCAACCTACTCATCTGACAAAGGGCTAATATCCACAATCTACAATGAACTCAAATTTACAAGAAAAAAACAAACAACCCCATCAAAAAGTGGGCAAAGGACATGAACAGACACTTCTCAAAAGAAGACATTTATGCAGCCAAAAAACACATGAAAAAATGCTCACCATCACTGGCCATCAGAGAAATGCAAATCAAAACCACAGTGAGATACCATCTCACACCAGTTAGAATGGCGATCATTAAAAAGTCAGGAAACAACAGGTGCTGGAGAGGATGTGGAGAAATAGGAACACTTTTACACTGTTGGTGGGACTGTAAACTAGTTCAACCGTTGTGGAAGTCAGTGTGGCGATTCCTCAGGGATCTAGAACTAGAAATACCATTTGACCCAGCCATCCCATTACTGGGTATATACCCAAAGGACTATAAATCATGCTGCTATAAAGACACATGCACACATATGTTTATTGCAGCATTATTCAGAATAGCAAAGACTTGGAACCAACCCAAATGTCCAACAATCATAGTCTGGATTAAGAAAATGTGGCACATATACACCATGGAATACTATGCAGCCATAAAAAATGATGAGTTCATGTCCTTTGTAGGGACATGGATGAAATTGGAAATCATCATTCTCAGTAAACTATCGCAAGAACAAAAAACCAAACACCGCATATTCTCATTCCTAGGTGGGAATTGTACAATGAGAACACATGGACACAGGAAGGGGAACATCACAGTCTGGGGACTGTTGTGGGGTTGGGGGAGTGGGGAGGGATAGCATTGGGAGATATACCTAATGCTAGATGACGAGTTAGTGGGTGCAGCGCACCAGCATGGCACATGTATACATAGGTAACTAACCTGCACATTGTGCACATGTACCCTAAAACTTAAAGTATAATAATAATAAATAAATAAATAAAGATATATATAACTTTTGCATCTACTTCATCAGGTTTTTATGTATAAAAGTTATATATATAACTTTTGACTCACTAAACTTAGTTTTAGATGACATTTAGTTGGACTAAGAATTCTGATGAAACTAACATGTGTGTTCAAAATAGTGTGGAACAAAAGCAATTCCGTAAATATTTTGTGCAAAGGCAATGCACATGGAGTAAGTCTACAGTTTCCAAACTGCCACTGAGAAAGTCAAATAATAATCAAGGTATGTAAGTCTTGTGTGTTGTCTCCTTCCCTACAATTACATTTTAAAGTAGGAAAAAATAGGAGTCTGAATATGAAGATAGATTAAACTGCAGATTAAGATCAAATTTCATAAAAATGAGCAACTCTTAGAAACTAACGAAATTTAACAAACATTTATTGAATGTATTCTAGGTAACTAAAGTAGTACTAGGTACAATAGGAAATAGAAAAATGAAAAATACACAGGTCAGGTCCTCAAGGCACTTACAAGCTGTTGAATAGTAAGTTATGTACAACAAGAATGACAACATTCTACTTTAGACTTGAACGTTATAAATGAAGCTAAAAGCTTAGTTGTATAAGCCAATTTACATTCAAATACTTTAGTCCATATTTTCTCAGGTCAATCCGATTACCATCAGTGTTGTATACCTTTATGAATACATATCACTTTACACTGTAGAAATTTGCTTATGTATCTGCCTTCTCGGCTAGCCTATGAGCTTCTCCAGAGCGAGGAAGAACTAGAGGTCATATTATGGAGTCTAGCGTAGAGTACATGCACAACAATTGTGTGGATCAATAAAGCAGATTGTTAGATGTGCTATCAGTGAAATAAATGCAAAGTGAGAATGAGAAAACCAAACAAGGAATAGTTTAATTCCCATTGGAGAGCTTGGAGAAAGGTTCAAAGAGAGTATGGCATTTTAAAAAAATTAAGGCTGGGGGTGGCAGCTCATATCTGTAATCCCAGCACTCTAGGAGGCCGAGGCAGGAGGGTTGCTTTAGGTCAGGAGTTCAAGACCAGCCTGGGTAACATAGTGAGACTTCATCTCTTAAAAAAAGAGTTGGGATTTTAATATATAGAAATAGAGGAAAGAGAGAGTAAGCAAATGGAATGGGAAAGGTTTGCAAAAGCACAAAGGTAAAAAAGTACTGGGGATGCTTTAAAAATATTTATAATCCAGTATTTTCAGAATTCCAGGCTTTTGTGATTGATTGATAGATGTATTAGTGGTATCTTGAAGGTTAGTCTAGATGTTTTTCATAGGCAAGTTAGTAGGGATCTGAGTGGGTCTGCTTTCCCACACCTGCACACCTAGGGGACAAAAACAGATACCACAAAAATGGCCCTTGGGAACCTATCTGCATGACAGGACACAATTCAAATGTCTATAACAAGCTTGTTCAATGCATGGCCTGCAGGCTGCATGAGACCCAGGATGGCTTTGAATGCAGCCCAACACAAATTTGTAAACTTTTAAAACTTTATATGATTTTTTGGCAATTTTTTTTTTTAGTTCATCAGCTATCATTAGTGTTAGTGTATTTTATGTGTGGCCCACGACAATTCTTCTTCCAATGTGATCCAGGGAAGCCAAAGAGATTGGACACCCTTGGTCTATAATAATTTGGAATAATGTAACTGTTTACTAAGTTATATTTCATTGAACAATATACATCTACAGAAATGCAATACATGCTTGCATAATGCAGTTCAATCCAGTATATTTTACCAAATTAATTTGACCACAGAATTCCTTTGTTATGAAATTCCCTTTGGCATATAGGTTTGAAAAATTTTTTTAGTTTCCCTTCATTTAAAATGTAAGGTATCAAATAGAGACAAAAAATAAAAAGGAAAAATGAAATGAAAAGTTGCTCCTCTGAAAAGACAAACAAAATTGATAAACCAATAGCTAGACTAAAAAAGAGGAGAGAAGATCCAAATAAACACAATCAGAAATGAAAAGGGAGACATTACAACTGATACCACAGAAATACAAAAGATTATCAAACTATTATGAACAACTATATGCTCAAAAACTAGAAAACCTAGAGGGATAGAAACATACAACCTCCTGAGGTTGAACCAGGAAGAAATAGAGCCCTTGAACAGATTAATAATGAACAGCAAGATTAAGTCAGTAAATAAAAAAATGTCCCAACAGGGCTGGGTGTGGTGGCTCATGCCTATAGTCCCAGCACTTTGGGAGGCCAAGGCAGGTGGAATGCTTAAGCCCAGGAGTTTGAGACCACCCTGGGCAATATAGTGAAACTCTATCTCTACAAAAAATACAAAAATTAGCTGGGCATGGTGGCACATGCACCTGTAGTCCCAGCTACTTGGGAGGGTGAAATGGGAGGATCACCTGAGCCTGAGAGGTCGAGGCTGCAGTGAACCATAACTCAGGCTGTCACTCCAGCCTGAGTGTCAGAGTGAGATTCTGTCAAACAACCAAACCACAACAAAAAGCAAAAACAACAACAACAACAACAAACCCAAACTCCCAATAAAACAAAAGTGCAGGAGCAGATGAAAATCGAGGAGGAGGTAATTCTATCTAACTCATTCTATGAGGTCTGTATGGCACTGAAACCAGACAAGGACACAACAACAACAAAACTACAGACCAATATTCCTGATGAAGATACATGCAAAAATCTTCTACAAAAAACTAGCAAATAGAATGCCAACAACACATCAAAAACATAACATACCATGATTAGGTAGGATTTATGCAAAGATGATTCAACATACACAAATCAATAAATGTGATACATCACAAAACGAACTAAGAACAAGAATCATATGATCATCTTAATAGATGCAGAAAAGGCATTCAATAAAATTCAGCATCCCTTCATGATAAAAATCCTCAACAAACTAGGCATAGAAGAAACACACTTCCAAATAACAAAGGCCATATATGACAGTCCCAGAGCCAACATCATACTTGGTGGGGAAAATTTGAAAGAATTGCCTCTAAGAAGTGAAACAAGATAAGGATGCCCACATTCACCATTCTTATTCCACACAGTACCGGAAGTCCTTGCCACAGCAATCAGGAAACATAGAAAAATAAAAGGTATCTGAATTGGAAAACAGAAATTCAAATTATCCCTGTTCACTGATGATATGATCTTATATCTAGCAAATTCTAAAGACTCCACCAAAAACCTCTTAGATTTGATCAATGAATCCAGTAAAGTTTCAGGATACAAAATTACCATACAGATATCAGTAGCATTTCTATGTGCCAATAATGATATAGTAAAGGACCAAATGAAGAAGGCAATCCCATTTACAATAGCTACAAAAAACCACTCAAAAACCTAGAAATATATTTAACCAAGGTGAGATATCTCTATAAACAGAACTACAAAACACTGATGAAAAAATCTTTGATGACACAAACAAATGGAAAAACATCCTACGCTCATGGATTGGAAGAATCAGTATTGTTAAAATGACCAGACTGCCCAAAGCAATCTACAGATTCATTACAATCCCTATCAAATTAGCAGCACCATTTTTCACAGAATTAGAAAAAACAATCCTAAAATTAATATGGGTCTAAAAAATAAGACCCCAAATAGCCAAATCAATTGTAAGCAAAAAGAATGAAGCTGGAGATGTCACATGACCTGACTCCGGTTTACACTACAAGGCTATAGTAACCAAAATAGCATGGTACTGGTATAAAAATAGATACAAAGATTAATGGATCAGAATAGAGAACCCAGAAATAAAGCCATACACATATAACCAACTGATCTCCAACAAAGTCAACAAAAATATACACTGAGAGGCTGGGTGCAGTGGCTCATGCCTGTAATCCCAGCACTTTGGGAGGCCGAGACTAGCAGATCACTTGAGGCCAGGAGTTCCACACTACCCTGGCCAACACAGTGAAACCCTGTCTCTACTACAAATAAAAGAATTAGCCGGGCATGATGGCGCATGTCTGTAATCCCAGCTACTAGGGTGGCTGAGGCATGAGAACACTTGAACGCAGGAGGCAGAGGTTGCAGTGAGCCGAAATTGCACCACTGCACTTCAGCCTGGGAAAGAGTGAGATTCTGTCTCAAGAAGAAACCAAAATACACTGGAGAAAGTACATCCTATTCAACAAGGGGTACTGGGAAAATTGGATAGCCATATGCGTAAGAATTTTTGTATATCACCATATACAAAAATTAACTCAAGATGGATTAAATATCTAAATGTAAGATTGGGAACTATAAAATCCTAGAAGAAAACCGAGGAAATCTCTTCTGAACATTGACCTAGACAAAGAATTTATGAGTAAGTTCTCAAAGACAAATGCCAGAAAAAGAAAAATAGACAAATAGGACTAAATTAAACTAAAAAGATTCTGCACATCAAAAGAAACAATTAACAGAGAAAACAGACAATCTATAGAATGGGAAAAAATTTTGTAAACTCTGCATCCAAATAAAGGGCTAACATCCAGAATCTACAAGGAGCTCAAACAACTCACAAGAAAAATAATTAAAAAAAAAAACATTAAGAAGTAGGCAAAGTAAATGAGCAGACATTATTCAAAAGCAGATATACAAGTGGCTAACAAACACACGAAAAAATGCTCAACATCACTAATCATCAGAGAAATAAAAATTAAAACCACAATGAGATGCCATCTTACACCAGTCAGAAGGGCTATTACTAAAAAGTGAAAAAACAACAGATGTTGCAGAGGATGGGGATAATAGAAAATATGTATACACCATTGGTAGGAATGTAAATTAGTACAACCTTTATGGAAATTGGTATGGAAAGTTCTTCAAGAACTAAGAATAGAACTACAATTCAACCTAGCAATTCCACCACTGAGTATATACCCAATGGGAAAGAAATCATTATATCAAAAAATACCTGCACTCGTGTTCATTGCAGCACTATTCACAAAGCAAAGATGTGGAATCAACTTAAGTGTCCATCATCAGAGGACTGGATAAAGAAAATGTGGTATATATATGCCATGGAATACTACTCAGCCATAAAAAAGAATGAAATCATGTCTTTTGCAGCAACATGGGTGGAACTGGAGGTCATTACAGCTAAGTGAAATAACTCAGACAGAGAAAGTAAAATGCTGCATGTTTTCACACAAGCGAGGACTAAATGACGGAAACACTTGGACATACAGAGTGGAATAATAGACACTAGAGACAACAAAAGGTGGGAGGGTGGGAAGGGATGAGGGTTGAAAAATTACTTATTGGGTACATTGTTCCTTATTTGGGTGACAAATACAATAAAAGCCCAGACTTTACCACTACACAATAAATGCATGTAAAAGTCTGCACTTGTACCCACTAAATATACTAAAATTAAAATAATTTTTTAAAAATAATTACTTTGGCCCCATCTATTACTTTAGAGGCTTTAAACATGGTTCTTTAGATGTGGTTAACTCAATTTTTTTTTTTGAGGCGGAGTTTCGCTCTTGTTGCCCAGGCTCGAGTGCAATGGTGTGTTCTCGGCTCACTGCAACCTCTGCCTCTCGGGTTCAAGTGATTCTCCTGCCTCAGCCTCCTGAGTAGCTGGGATTACAGGCATGCGCCACCATGCCTGGCTAATTTTGTATTTCTTAATTTATTTATTCATTTTTTAGTAGAGACAGGGTTTCTCCATATTGGTCAGGCTGGTCTTGAACTCCCGACCTCAGGTGATCCACCCACCTTGGCCTCCCAAAGTGCTGGGATTACAGGTGTGAGCCACTGCTTTATACTGGAGTTTTGGGATAATATTAATCTCCTTTTTAGCATGGTTTAAGTTGTGAAGAAAATTGTCTATGCTTTCAAGTACCCTGATGCTTTTCCCATTAAGTGAAGATGTGTAACTTTAGTCCCATCTAAATGCTTTTAAAACCTCAAAACAATAAATAACAAAGCACAAGCTCAACACAAAAAACTGACCTGGTCTGAAAGACTAATCAACTTAATCTTACTTCTGAATATTCTTGACTTTTCTTATTACCAAACACTCTGATGTAAAATAAGCTTCTATCTTGTATGTACAATTTTCCTCCTTTTTCCTTTTAAAAATATTTTTATTATTAACCATCAACTTCATTTTTTTAATTTGTTCATCCATTCATTTATTATTGTAAGAAGTATTTATTGGATATCAACTATGAACCAAGTATTATGCTAGATTCTGGGTTTAATTTTTTTAAGAAATATGATGATTTTATTTAAGAAATGTAAAGTATCACTACACTTTAACTTAAATCTTGAGTCACTGAATGGGTCTATTTCAAGGGTTATAATGTTATATTACTGGTGGGAACAACTCCTAAATGCCCACTGATTTGGTAGCAAGCTGAGGATATGAGATTGCATATAATAAATAAGAAACTATAAATACATGTTTACTTTCATCTTATATACCCAATGTAATCTACATGCTTCTCAGCATGACAAACTCTTCCTTAAAACATTTACAAGACCTACTCATACAAATATCAAGAATATAGACTATTATATAATAAGTATCAAGTAAGTTTTATAGGAATTCAGAGTCCTGATTGGGGTAGTCAGGAAAAGCAGGTGTTGTGATTTGGATTTGTGTCCCCATCCAAATCTCATGTCAAATTGCAATCACCAGTGTTGGAGGAGTGCCCTGGTAGGAGGTGATTGGATCATGGGGGTAGATTTTCCCCTGGCTGTTCTCATGATAAGAAGTGAGTTCTCATGAGATCTGGTTGTTTAAAAGTATGTAGCACCAGCCTCTTTGCTCTCTTCCTCCTACTCTGACCATGTAACACATGCCTGCTTCCCCTTCACCTTCTACAATGATTTTAAGTTTCTTGAGGCTTCCCCAGCCATGCTTCCTGTACAGCCTATGGAACTGTGAGTCAATCAAACCACTTTTCTTTATGAAGTACCCAGTCTTAGGCAGTTCTTTACAGTTATGTGAGAACGGACTAATGAAACTGGTGTTAAAATTAGTCTTGAAGATTAGCACGAAGTAAAGAGGGAAGATACTCCAAGTAGGGAGAAAGGACAAAAGTAAAGATACATGGGTGGTATACATTATAAGACATCTTCAGAATGCAGTGCCTGGTACATGGTGGGCATGTTGTAAATAATTGTAGATGGGTAGAGGAATGGATTTATCAGAGGATTAATGGAGGGAAACAGCAATATATAAGATGGGAAGGTTGGACTGGGGCCAGATAATTGAGGGTCTTAAAAATAAGCAAAGTCACCTAAAATGTATTCTGTATACTTGGGCTCTTCAAGTAGAAATATATACCTCATGGTCCACTGGAAGGCCCAGGATAAACATGAAGCATCTTCCCGACTCTTCAATTTTACTTGAACATTTGAAGAATTAAGTGAAGAAATTTAAGTGATACCTGATTTAAAACATTATTTTTATATTAAAACAAACAGATGTATTTTGGAGTGAAATGTAAAATGTGTGAATTTTTAATGTAAAACAAGAGACTTCAAGGAAATATTGAGCTTGTGGTGAGGTGCTTTCAGCTATGCTACCTTTGTTTACATCCTTTTCTGGCAGTGGATATGTGGGACCGTAAGAGGGATTTCAGCAAGGTAGTAACAGGATTAAAATGATGATTTACTTATACTAATGTAGCAGCAGGATGCAGGTTGGTCTAGAATATGGAGATGAACAATCTGTAACCTAGCTAAAGAACTATGGAAAAAGTTCCTTTGACCAAATTTTAATCAAGCTCCTCTGAGTCCTCTTTTTAACTAGGCTCCAATCTTGGGCTCTGTTCTTAGTCCCCCTCTCCTCAGAAAAAGAAAAGAAGGAAAAAAAGATAATGGGTAGCTTTGTTTAATGTCTCATGAAATATCCATGAACAATACAAACATAGTTGTTACAAACAAGTGAATTGAATGGATATAAGTCGATAAAAGCTTATAAATGAGCTTTTCAGTAATAACCATCCCTAAAATAACCATATATATATATGCCTAAAAACAGTTGCCAACTGTTTTGGTAACTTGAAACTTTAGAGTTATGCTATGTTGAGTAAGAGATAGTTACTGAATATCTAAATAATTTCTAAGAAAGAAAAAACTACTGAAACAGGCTGGGTACAGTGGCAGACGTCTGTAATCCCAGCACTTGTCTATGGCCATACCACCCTGAATGCGCTGGATCTCGTCTGTAATCCCAGCACTTTGGGAGGCCGAGGAGGGTGGATCACCTGAGGCCAGGAGTTAGAGACCAGCCTGGCCAAAATGGTGAAACCCCATCTCTACTAAAATTACAGAAAATTAGCTGGGAGTGGTGGCACTGCCGGTAATCCCAGCTACCTGGGGGGCTGAGATAGGAGAATCCCTTAAACCTGGGAGGTGGAGGTTGCAGTGAACCGAGATGGTGCCACTGCATTCCAGCCTGGGCAACAGAGTGAGACTCTGTCTCAAAAAAAAAAAAAAAAAAACCATAACACTGAAACATTAATTGCTGAACATAAGTTTATAAACTTTTGGCATCTTGTTTTCATACAATATAAAGAAGTTAAGATATCTAGGTCTGTAAAAAAAAAATTTCCTTTTGCCACATGAAAAACTATAGTATGAGGAAGCGTATGTCTGTAGGAATTGTGAGATGATATGTTTATAAAATGCTGATCTATGACAGACAGTTTACAGTTTTCTACTTCCTAGTTTTCTCTGTAAGGAAAAGACTACTGATGGCTAAAAAGTACAAGCAGGGTGGCTGGCAAGATGACCGAATAGGAATAGCTCCGATCTGCAGCTCCCAGCGAGAACAATGCAGAAGGCGGGTGATTTCTGCATTTCCAACTGAGGTATCCAACTTACCACATTGAGATTGGTCAGACAGTGGGTGCAGCCCATGGAGGGCAAGCAGAAGCAGGGTGGGGCGTTGCCTCACCCAGGAAGTACAAGGGGTCAGAGAACTCCCTCCCTTAGCCACGGGAAGGATTGAGGGACTGTGCCATTAGGAACAGTGCATTCCAGCCCAGATACTCTGCTTTTCCCATGGTCTTCACAACCTGCAGACCAGGAGATTCCCTTGGGTGCCTACACCACTAGGGCCCTGGGTTTCAAGCAAAAATGGGGCAGCCATTTGGGTAGACACTGAGCTAGCTGCAGGAGATTTTGTTCATACCCCAGTGGTGCCTGGAATGCCAATGAGACAGAACCGTTCACTCCCCTGGAAAGGGGGCTGAAGTCAGGGAGCCAAGTGGTCTAGCTCAGTGGATCCCACTCCCACAGAGCCCAGTAAGTTAAGATCCACTGGCTTGAAATTCTCGTGGCCAGCAGAGCAGTCTGAAGTCAACCTGGGAGGCTCGAGCTTGGAGCAGGGAGGTGCGTCTGCTTGAGTAGGTGGTTTTACCCTCACAGTGTAAACAAAGCTGCCTGGAAGTTTGAACTGGGCGAAGCCCACCACAGCTTGGCAAAGCCGCTGTAGCCAGACTGCCTCTCAAGATTCCTCCTCTCTGAGAACAGCATCTCTGAAAGAAAGGCAGCAGCCCCAGTCAGGGGCTTATACATAGAACTCCCACCTCCCTGGGACAGAGCACCTGGGGGAAGGGGCAGCTGTGGGCGCAGCTTCAGCAGATATAAATGTTCCTGCCTGCCACCTCTGAAGACAGCAGCAGATCTCCCAGCACAGTGCTCGAGTTCTGCTAAGGGATAGACTGCCTCCTCAAATGGGTCCCTGATCCCCGTGCCTCCTGACTGGGAGATACCTACCAGCAAGGGTCGACAGACACCCCATACAGGAGAGCTCCAGCTGGCATCTAGCGGGTGCCACTCTGGGACGAACCTTCCAGAGGAAGGAACAGGCAGCAATCTTTGCTGTTCTGCAGCCTCTGCTGGTGATACCCAGCGAAACAGGGTCTGGAGTGGACCTCCAGCAAACTCCAGCAGACCTGCAGCAGAGGAGCCTGACTGTTAGAAGGAAAACTAACAAACCGAAAGGAATAGCATCGACATCAACAAAAAGGACAACCACACAGAAACCCCATTTGAAGGTCACCAACATCAAAGACCAAAGGTAGATAAATCCAGGAAGACAAGGAAAAACCAGCTCAAAAAGGCTGAAAATCCCAAAAACCAGAATGCTTCTCCTCCATAGGATCACAACTCCTCACCAGCAAGGGAACAAAACTGGACAGAGAACAAGTCTGACAAATTGACGGAAGTAGGCTTCAGAAGGTGGGTAATAACAAACACCTCTGAGCTAAAGGAGCATGTTCTAACCCAATGCAAGGAAGCTAAGGACCTTGAAAAAAGGTTACAGGAATTGCTAAGTAGAATAACCAGTTTAGAGAAGAACACTAATGACCTGATGGAGCTGAAAAACACAGCACAACAACTTCATGAAGTATACACAAGTATCAATAGCCGAATCGATCAAGTGGAAGAAAGGATATCAGAGATTGAAGATCAACTTAATGAAATAAAGTGTGAAAACAAGATTGGAGAAAAAAGAATGAAAAGGAACGAACAAAGCCTCCAAGAAATATGGGACTATGTGAAAAGACCAAACCTGCGTTTGATTGGTGTACCTGAAAGTGATGGGAAGAACGCAACCAAGTTGGAAAACACTCCTCAGGATATTATCCAGGAGAACGTCCCCAACCTAGCAAGGGAGGTCAACATTCAAACTCAGGAATTACAGAGAACACCACAAAGATACTCCTTGAGAAGAGCAACCACAAGACACATAATGGTCAGATTCACCAAGGTTGAAATGAAGGAAAAAATGTTAAGGGCAGCCAGAGTGAAAGGTCAAGTTACCCACAAAGGGAATCCCATCAGATTATCAGCAGCTGTCTCTGCAGAAATCCTGCAAGCCAGAGGAGAGTGGGGTCCAATATTCGACATTCTTAAAGAAAAGAATTTTCAACCCAAAATTTCATATGCAACCAAACTAAGCTTCCAAAGCGAAGGAGAAACAAAATACTTTACAGACAAGCAAATGCTGAGAGATTTTATCACCACCAGGCCTGCCTTACAAGAGCTCCTGAAGGAAGCACTAAATACGGAAAGGAAAAACCGGTATCAGCCACTGCAAAAACATAACAAATTGTAAAGTCCATCGACACTATGAAGAAACTGCATCAACTAACAGGCAAAATAACCAGCCAGCATCATAATGACAGGATCAAATTCAGACATAACAATATTACCCTCAAATGTAAACAGGCTAAATGCCCTAATTAAAGGACACAGACTGGCAAATTGGAGAAAGAGTCAGGACCCATCAGTGTGCTGTATTCAGGAGACCCATCTCACATGCAAACACACACATAGGTTCAAAATAAAGGGATGGAGGAATATTTACTAAGCAAATGGAAAGCAATAAAAAGCAGGGGTTGCAATCCTAGTCTCTGATAAAACAGACTTTAAACCAACAAAGGTAAAAAAAGACAAAGAAGGGCTTTACATAATGGTAAAAGGATCAATGCAACAAGAAGAGCTAACTAACCTAATATATATGCACCTAATAACAGGAGCACTGAGAGATTCATAATGCAAGTTCTTAGAGACCTACAAAGAGACTTAGACTCCCACACAATAATAGTGGGAGACTTTAATGCCCCACTGTCAATATTAGACAGATCAGCTAGACAGAAAATTAACAAGGATATTCAGGACTTGAACTCAGCTCTGGACCAAGCCGACCTAATAGACATGTACAGAACTCTCTACCCCAAATCAACAGAATACACATTCTTCTCAGCATCACATAGCACTTATTCTAGAATTGACCACATAATTAGAAGTAAAACACTCCTCAGCAAATGCAAAAGAACAGAAATTATAACAAACAGTCTCTCAGACCACAGTACAATCAAATTAGAACTCAGGATTAAGAAACTCACTCAAAACCACACAACTACATGAAAACTGAACAACCTGCTCCTGAATGACTACTGGGTAAATAATGAAATCAAGGCAGAAATAAAGATGTTCTTTGAAACCAGTGAAAATAAAAACACAATGTACCAGAATCTCTGGGACAAAACTAAAGCAGTGTTTAGGGGGAAATTTATAGGACCAAATGCCCATAGAAGAAAGCAGGAAAGATCTAAAATTGACACCCTAACATCACAATTAAAAGAACTAAGAAGTAAGAGCAAACAAATTCAAAAGCTAGCAGAAGACAAGAAATAACTAAGATCAGAGCAGAACTGAAGGATAGAGAGACACGAAAAACACTTCAAAAAAAATCAATGAATCCAGGAGCTGGTTTTTTGAAAAGATTAACAAAATACATAAATCACCAGCCAGACTAATAAAGAAGAAAAGAGAGAAGAATCAAATAGACACAATAAAAAATGATAATGGGGATATTACCACTGATCCCCCAGAAATACAAACTACCATCAGAGAATACTATAAACACCTCTAAATAAATAAACTAGAAAATGTAGAAGAAATTGATAAATTCCTGGACACATACACCTTCCCAAGACTAAATTAGGAAGAAGTCGAATCCCTGAATAGAGCAATAACAAGTTCTGAAATTGAGGCAGTAATTAATAGCTTACCAACCAAAAAACCCCAGGAACAGATGGATTCACAGCCGAATTCTACCAAAGGTACAAAAAGGAGCTGGTACCATTCCTTCTGAAACTATTCCAAACAATAGAAAAGGAGGGACTCCTTCATAACTCATTTTATGAGGGCAGCATCACTCTGATACAAAAACCTGGCAGAGACACAACAGAAAAAGAAAATTTCAGGCCAATATCCCTGATGAACATCAATGCAAAAATCCTCAATAAAATACTGGCAAACTGAATCCAGCAGCACATCAAAGAGCTTATCCACCATGATCAAGTTGGCTTTATCCCTGGGATGCAAGGCTGGTTCAACATTGTAAATCAATAAACATAATCCATCACTTAAACAGAAACAATGACAAAAACCACATAGATGCAGAAAAGGCCTTTGATAAAATTCAACAACCCTTCATGCTAAAAACTCTCAATAAACTAGGTATTGATGGAATGTATCTCAAAATAATAAGAGCTATTTATGACAAACCTACAGCCAATATCATACTGAATGGGCAAAAGCTGGAAACATTCCCTTTGAAAACTGGCACAAGAGAACCATGCCCTCTCTCTCCATTCCTATTCAGGAATTTGAATTCGATATAGTATTTGAAGTTCTGGCTGGGGCAATCAGGCAAGAGAAAGAAATAAAGAGTATTCAAATAGAAAGAGAGGAAGTCAAATTGTCTCTGTTTGCAGATGCCATGACTTTATATTTAGAAAACCCCATTGTCTCAGCCCAAAATCTCCTTAAGCTGATAAGCAACTTCAGCAAAGTGTCAGGATACAAAGTCAACATGCAAAAATCACCCTATACACCAGTAACAGACAGACAGCCTAATCATGAGTGAACTCTCATTCACAGTTGCTACAAAGAGAATAAAATACCTAGGAATACAACTTACAAGGGACGTGAAGGACCTCTTCAGGGAGAATTACAAACCACTGCTGAAGGAAATAAAAGAGGAGACAAGCAAATGGAAAAGCATTCCACGTTCATGGATAGGAAGAATCAATATCGTGAAAATGGCCATACTGCCCAAAGTAATTTATAGATTCAATGGTATCTCCACCAATCTACCATTGACTTTCTTTGCAGAATTAGAAAAAACTACTTTAAATTTCATGTGGAACCAAAAAAGAGCCCATATAGCCAAGTCAATCCTTAGCAAAAAGAACAAAGCTGTAGGCATCATGCTACTTGACTTCAAACTATACAACAAGGCTACAGCAACCAAAACAGCATGATACTGGTACCAAAACAGATATATAGACCAATGAAACGGAACAGAGGCCTCAGAAATCATGCCACACATCTACAACTATCTGATCTTTGACAAAGCTGACAAAAACAAGCAATGGGGAAAGGATTCCCTATTTAATAAATGTTGTTAGGAAAACTGGCTAGCCATTTGCAGAAAACTGAAACTGGACCCCTTCCTTACACTTTATAGAAAAATGAACTTAGGATGGATTAAAGACTTATATGTAAGACCTAAAACCATAAAAACCCTAGAAGAAAACCTATGCAATACCATTCAGGGCATAGGCATGGGCAAAGACTTCAAGACTAAAATACCAAAAGCAATGCCAAAAAAGCCAAAATTGACAAACGGGGTCTAATTAAACTAAAGAGTTTCTGCACAGCAAAAGAAACTCTCATCAGAGTGAACAGCCCACCTACAGAACGCAAGAAAATGTTTGCAACCTATTCACCTGACAAAGGGCTAATATCCAGAATCTACAGGGAACTTAACCCCATCAAAAAAAAAAAAAAAAAAAAAAAAAAAGAAAGAACCCCATCAAAAAGTGGGAGAAGTATATGAACAGACACTTCTCAAAAGAAGACATTTATGAGGTCAACAAACATATGAAAAAAACTCATTATCACTGGTCATTAGAGAAATGTAAATCAAAACCACAATGAGATACCATCTCATGCCAGTTAGAATGGCAATCATTAAAAAGTCAAGAAACAACGGATGCTGCAGAGGATGTGGAGAAATAGGAACGCTTTTACACTGTGGTGGGAGGGTAAATTAATTCAACCATTGTGGAAAACAGTGTGGTGATTCCTCAAGGATCTAGAACTAGAAATACCATTTGACCCAGCAATCCCATTACTAGGTATATACCCAAAGGATTATATATCACTCTATTATAAGGACACATGCACACATATGTTTACTGCAGCACTGTTCACAATAGCAAAGACTTGGAACCAACCCAAATGCCCATCAGTGATAGACTAGATAAAGAAATTGTGGCATATATACACCATGGAATACTATGCAGCTGTAAAAAAAAGTGAGTTAATGTCCTTTGCAGGGACATGGATGAAGCTGGAAACCATCATTCTCAGCAAAGTAACACAGGAACAGAAAACCAAACACCACATGTTCTCACTTACAAGTGGGAACTGAACAATGAGAACATATGGTCACAGGGAGGGGAACATCACACACCTGGGTCTGTCAGTGGGTCGGGGGCTAGGGGAGGGATAGCATTAGGAGAAATACCTAATGTAGATGACGGGTTGATGGGTGCAGCAAACCACCATGGCATGTGTATACCTATATAATAAACCTGTACGTTCTGCACAAGTATCCCAGAACTTAAAGTATAATAAAAAAAGTATAAGCAATATATGTAATTTAAACTACTAGAAATAATAAAGGTAAAGGGAAACAACTTTGTGTGCAAAATGTGTAAGAAAAGTAAGATGTGTTTTTAGTAAGAAACAGTATAAAAGATTTAAAAATGTGTTTTCACTGAGGAAAAAGGGAGTTTTCTACTACAGTAAGATGACTGTTGTTTTAGGATGTGAAAGAGGAAAAGAGTATGATAAAAACTGAATGGATGTAAAATGGTTGTAAAAGTTTGTGAAAAAGAAATTTTGTATAATCAAGTTGCTAAGATTGGATGGATTTACTTATAAAGTTCTTTAAAAAAATAGAGCTCATAATTTTCTGATGAAAAGCTACAATTGGGTTTTCTCTTTGTTAAAAGAATAAAGTTTTCTAGTCTGTTTGTTTTCAATTACTTAAAAAACCTAAGTCTTATCAATTTTAAAAGACCTAAGGTTTCTTTTTTACAATTATGTAAATTTCTGTATTTGCCTGCAAAACCTTTTATAATTACTTTGGTTAAATAAACAACTAAGTATTGTTTCACAGTGACCTGTGATCCCATTTAATCAAGTGTTCCAACTTTTAACATTTTTGACAAAGTTCCCCAAATCAAATCCTAAATGCTCTAATCTTGTAAAAAGAAGGATGTTACCCTACATTGGTGTATTTGACATGTTAAATTACAAGGAAGCACTGTCAAATAAAATGTGATGTTTAAGCTTATTTATTTTCTATTTCTATGAGTATATGTCATTGATATAAATATTCCAGAAATTGTATGACATTCATAGGACTTTGCCAAAATCCTCTTTTCTGGTTATTATTGTTGTGTGTCACAGAAACAACCAAATTCTCTTTTCAAATAAATTGTTATCAGACCCTTAGAAGTTGATGGGTTCATAAAACTATTAATTCAAGATCAAGCAGAACAAAAATTAATTACATGAGACTGAATGAACTAATTTTTATTAGGTTTTGTTTGAAACATTGCTGGTTCTTTGTTGTTTTGTTTTCCATATTTAAAGAAACCTTTTTCTCTTAAACTATCTATAACTTAGAGCAATCTTACAGATTATGTCTTTGTAAACAAAACGAAACATTTATTTTTTTCTCCCTGCCTAATCTCTCCAAAATATGGATACTATTATTGAGTATTATTATTTTTATGGCAATATAGTTGTTTGTATAAGTTCAATAAAATATGTTTTTATTATAGCAGGACAGAGCTGGAAACATTGATTACATTACCAAGGCTTTGACTGGAATGGCATATTTTAGAATGAAGTACACAGAATCAGATATGACTAAACAGATTTAAGAAACTAGAGTCAACTTTATAAGCCAATGCTTACAAAGCCCTCTTAAGATACCAGCCTGGTACCTGGCTTACAGGGTTCCCGTTCTTACAATTGAATACAGAAGTCTCTTCCTGGGAGGCCCAGGAAACTCTGGATACCTTGGTGACTTAGAGAAGAGAGGAATTCACTTAAATCTGTAGGCGTAATAGGTGGCAAAATCTGGTGGTGAGTTCTTGGCTTGCTATCCTAGCCTGGGTTTTAAAAGTTTAATCTGAGATTCCTTATGAAAAGTTCAAACAAAGCAAATTTTAAAAGCCTATGTGATCAATTACCATTCTTGCCATGCTTATTTAAATAATCAGGTCAAATCTAATGACACTAGATTTATTTTGTAATAAAAAATTAAAAAGGGGGGAGATTGTAAAAAATTTTGTTTCACTGGAAAACTATAGTGGACCTGTTATTAGATTCTAGCTCTGTTCACTGTCTTTGAGGTTTCATTATATACTTGTAAACTGGACGGGATCCAGAATTCCTCTAGTTTCCTTTGATATCTGGCTACAACTGTCCAAACTAACATTCTAATTTTTTCTCCCATCCTTCTGCTTTGGCATCACTAAGAACTAAAACTGCCATTTTCCCAAAGCTCTGCAAGCTGAGGCTGGACAACTTGACATGAACTTCAAACAAATTACCATAACAGATTGTGTGCAGGCGACATCATGCCTGCTGCTGTTTGGGCCCCTCAGAAAGTTCACCCGATGTCATCGCTAAACACATTCAAACTGCAAACCAGGAAATGTGTGGGGTTGCTTCTCTCACCCTCAGTCGACCATTTAAAGATGCTTTGAGCCCAATAACCAGAAATCTTCTTGACTGGCTGCCCTCTGGACACAGAAACTGGGTTTGTAGACATTAATCTTGGTTTTTCTTTTTCTGTTTCATAGAAATGCCACTCATTAAATGCCTGATTGTTCATACCATCCGGCAGACATCCTCTACCAAATGAGGAATGGACTTTTATTATTTAAAGAAAAGAAGATTGACTCTTCTTTCCTTTGAACAACAGGGAGGATTGACAGAAACTCTCTCCTTTGACTAAACGTTAGGCTCCTCTGAGTCCTCCTCTTAACAAGGCTTCAATCTTGGGCTCCATCCTTAGTCTAGTGACTCTGACTGTTTAGTCTACTTTAAGCAAGTATCCTGCTGGATCAGTTTAGCAAAAATCTCCCATCCTTGATATCTGATCAAATGGCCTGCCTTTTATTTTATTTTATTTTTTTTTTTTTGAGACGGAGTCTCGCTCTGTCGCCCAGGCTGGAGTGCAGTGGCGGGATCTCGGCTCACTGCAAGCTCCGCCTCCCGGGTTCACGCCATTCTCCTGCCTCAGCCTCCCAAGTAGCTGGGACTACAGGCGCCCGCCACTACGCCCGGCTAATTTTTTGTATTTTTAGTAGAGACGGGGTTTCACCGTTTTTTTAGCCGGGATGGTCTCGATATCCTGACCTAGTGATCCGCCCGCCTCGGCCTCCCAAAGTGCTGGGATTACAGGCGTGAGCCACCGCGCCCGGCGTGCCTTTTAAAATAACCCTGTCAAGTCAGTTCAGCCAGAATTCTCCTTGCCTCTGATGTTTCCTTTCAGTAATTTTCCATCCACTGACACCCACTCTGCTCCTTGGGTATAGATACCCACTGCCCTTATTGGAGTTAGAGTTGGGCCCAATCTCTCTCTCCCACTGCAGTCCCCAATGCAGTAGTCCCTTGAACATATTGTCTTATCAAATGTCATCCATAATATTTTTCTTTAACGTAGTCCAGAATAGTAGCTATTAGAATGAAAAGAAGCTTGAAAAGCTTTATTAAGGATGTTGGTATTTCAACTAATTTTGCAACCCACAATGTACTAGAATTGATTCAGTGATGCTAGACTTTTTTTTTTATATTGAGAAGCAGTTTGCTGCTGGTTAAGTACTGACTCTTGTGCCAGAACGCCTGGGATTAAATTTTGGCTCAGGTACTTACTTACTGTGGCACTTTTGTGCAAATTGCTTAACTGTTGTGTGCCTGCATTTCCTCACCTATTTCTTGATGTTAATATTACCTATTTAATTAGATTGCTTTGAGGATTAAATGAATTAATATATGTAAAACACTTAAAACAGTGCCTGGGTACAGTAAATACTGTTTAAGTGTTAGCTGCTATTATTATTATTACTACTTACATTGACTCTCATCTTTCCTGAGATTTCAGACTCCTAGGAATCGGGGAGATCTGCAGTGTGGATATATGGCTGTGGAAAATCTCTGAGTCCTGGAATATCAGCTGAGAGATTGATGAGGGCATTATAAGTTGGCTCAGTTCATCAGCGTTAGGCTTTGAGGTCATTTGTACTCTATTGCCCCCTCATTACTTTAAAGGTTTCTTTTGAGCTTTAATCTCTATTAAAAATGTCCACATCAAGTGTTTCTGACACCTAATAAAATTAGATTTATTTGATACCAGTAAATATTTTCTTACAAATAATTTTTGATAACAAAAAAAGAAAAAGATATACAAATCTATTCAGAGTGAGCAAACTATATTTGCAACATGCTGTATATTGTGATGTATTACAATCTACTGGTAGGTTTGATTAGGTTGAACCACATGAAATTGTCCATAATCAATCATTTTTGACTCACAAAAACGACAGATCTTTTCAAATTGTTAAACCTAATATTTCCTGAATTTTACTTTAGACAAAGAATATATGCTTTTATTTTTTCTTATTCATATTCTACACTTTTCTTTTTTTGTCAGTTAAAATAACTAAGAAATGATGTGGACAGATAAGGTCAACAACAGCAAACAAAATCATTCTTATATGAAATAACACTCTGGAACTGGAAAACTCCTCTTTGTCTTTGCCTTTAACCTCCAATACTTCCCCTTGCTCCCTGCTGTGCTGTTGTGGTAAGCCGGCTGGCCTGTCATGTAGCCACACAGACTTTTCCCTACCAACTTTGCATATATTAGCAACCAAATGCTGTGCCTTTGTTTAGAATATTGCTTTTTTAAGTATGCTTGGAAAGATTTTCTGGCAGGGCAACCTTATTCTTCAGAAGCTTAAATGGCTTGAATATACTAATTAACGAAACACCAAATTGTTTGTCTGATTTACTACTGAATGCCTTTTGTAATGATTTGCTGGATTTGCTAAAATTCAGAAGGTTCCACTTATTAAAAACCAATAGCAGCTCCAATTATTTTGCTGGCCATTAGCAATCTGGCAATCTGCAATCATTATTTCACTTTCTGAGACCAACTAAAAATATAAATAACATCTTCAAATTTTATTTTTGAATAGCTCTTCAAATAAATATATATAATATATATAATAATGTATAACATATAATGTATATATGATATAATGAAACATATACGCTTTAGTGTGGTATATCATTTTACTTTTCACTTTAGTTTGAAAAGAGTAAGATGAAAGCAACCGTGCTTTCAAAATAAAACAGAAGCCTGGGCAAGATAGTGACACCTCATCTCTAAAAAAATAAAAAAAAAATTAGCCAGGTAGGGTGGTGTACATTGTAGTGCCAGCTACTCGGAAGGCTGAGGTGGATCACTTGAAACCAGGAGGTTGAGGCTGCAGTGAGCCATGACAGCACCACTGCACACTAGTTTGGGTGACAGAGTAAGACCGTGTCTCCAGAAAACCCAGAAAAAAAACAAACAAAAACCCAAAACCGAAATGCTTTAATATCTGCATAGAAAAATAATCCAATCTAAGTCCCACATCTATATGTAATTAAATGGACTTGATATAAGTTTAAGTCTCTTCAGCAGAACATTGACTTTAAAAAATTACATCTCTATTAGCAAGAGCTATTAATAACAGCAAGAAGCATGGAGAAAATATTGCTCTAGCCTGTTCTGTGTCTTAGGTAGCTTTAAAGGTTAAAATAAAAGGCTTTTTGATGGGGAGGGAAAGTCCTCATTCCAGATTGCTCCAAAAGGAAAAAGTAAGCATTAATAGAAAGATCTGGTCTGGAGGCAGTGATCACTTGGAACAATAATACAGAACTTAACACTATGAGCAAATCACAAATCCAACTAAAATCACCAGTATTTTCCCACCTCCAATCTATTCTTCATGCCCACAGCAAGAGGATTTTTTTCAAAATATTAATCTGAGCATAATATCTGCCATTTATAAAGACTCAATAGCTTTATGTTATTTTTGAACTTAAAAATATCTTCACATGGTCTTATACAGCTAGTATTGTTACAGTAGGTAGCTAGTCAGACACGAGCAAGGCAGGAGAGGGCCCCCCATTCCCAACCAAGAATGTCAGGCAACCATCAGGTGAGAGTCAGGTGGATGGTCTGTCTCTCTAAAATAATAATTGGTCACAGCTGGTGCCAGGGAAAGGCAGTCTCCCAATAGATAGAAACACCTGAAACTGGTGATCAGCAGCTTTCTGATAAGATTTCAGGAGTTAGGCAAGTGGGGTCAAGCATGTACACTAAGAAGCAAAATGGCAGAGTTTAACTGGTATATGACCTTTTTCTAAGAACACTAGACTGCTAAAGAAAAGAATGCCTCAAGTGAGCACGTGTACAACTCCAGCAAATATACTATGCATATAGCCCCTCCCAAGTGCTGGCAGGCCACTGCTCATGAGGACAGCCCACCCCAAGGGAAGAATCAGGGGAAAAGGGACGTAATTCCCCTAGAAACATGCCAAGATATAAAATCCCAAGTCAAAGGTCAAACCGTGCACTTGATCTGTCAAATCACCTGTTTGGCCCTCTTCCAAGTGTACTTTACTTCCCTTCCTTCCTGCTCTAAAGCTTTTTAATAAACTTTCACTCCTGCTCTAAAATTTGCCTCAGTCTCCCACTCTGCTCTTATGCCCCTTTGTTGAATTATTTCTTCTGAGGAGGTAAGAATTAAGGTTGTTGAAAACCCATATGGATTCACCACTGCTAACAGTATGATTCAGTTACTTAATTCCTCTAACAATTTCCCATCCATTGACACTCTTCACCAGTTACTTCACTTTATCTTCCAGACACACTGTCCCTTTAGTCCCTGGTACCTTCTATGTTCCTTCCAGCTACACAGGCTACTGCTATGCTTTTCTGCCTAGAATGTGTTTTCTTTCCTTCTTGACTCAGTTAACTCATATTCTATTGGCAATTAACTATAAGATAGTTTGGTTTGTTGCTATATTGGCTTATGAATGAAGTGCTTTAGGGGCACAGAGGTGTCCCTCCATCTTAGTCACCAGCAATAGAAACCAACTTATAATTTCAGAAGAAAATACATTTATCAAAGGATAGGAAACACCTCACAGAATTCTTCAGGATGCTATAGAAACAGCTTTGGAAGTTACCCAACCAGGAAAGGAGCGTGCAGCATGCAATGCTACTGTCTGGAAGCTGCAGGATAGATGTTGCCACTATAATAACTTTTCTGTTATATTTGGAAACTGGAAGTAGCTGCTACTGCTACTTCAGAAATGAAGACTCCAGAAATGGAGTCTGTAGTCTACATTTTTTTCATGTCTCTAATTTTTGTTTCAAAGTCTGTGGTGAGTATGCCTGATTGGCAGTCCTGTTTATGGACTCATGCCCAATGTGTAACAGAGACTGGGAGAGTAAGTAGTTGGCATTTTAAGCCTGTAAGATAGAAAATGTCTCTGATTCAGAGTGTAGGGTACTCCCTAAACCCAGAAAAAGAGTTCTAATACTAATTATCCAAGAATAACAAATATCCACTAGCTGAGGAATACAGACAAAATTGAGAAAAACTTTTCAAGGAAGGTAATATTTTAGTTGTGTCTAGTTTTTTTTTTTCTTTCTTCTTTTTGTTAAGCAAGACTTTGTCAAGCAAAGGGAACAAGTGATGATAGGGAAGACACTGCAGGAAAAGAAGAGAGAATAGCATTGGATCTTAAGTAGCTTTAGAATCAAATGAAGAGCTTTCTAAAAAACAATCCCCATGCCCGGGCGCAATGGCTCATGTCTGTAATCCCAGCACTTTGGAAGGCCAAGGCAGGTGGATGATATGTCAGGAGTTCGAGACCAGCCTGGCCAACATGATGAAACCCTGTCTCTACTAAAAATACAAAAAATTAGCTGGATGTGGTGGTGGGCACCTGTAATCCCAGCTACTTGGGAGGCTGAGGCAGGGGAATTGCTCGAACCTGGGAGGCGGAGGTTACAGTGAGCTGAGATCGTGCCACTGCACTCCAGCCTGGGCAACAAGAGTGAAACTCCATCTCAAAAAAAAAAATCCCCAAATGTAGTCACTTATTCAATAGGTATGTACTGGGTCCCTGATATCTCATATTACTATTAGGATATTCTGTGACAATCATTTGGTTAAATATCTGTGAAAGCAAAAGCACTGACACATAAAATAGATGGTCTGCTTAAGAGAAAGCAGTAAGTTTTTGGCCCAGTATAAATGGAGCTCAGGGAGATCAGAGATGAGGCAAGAAAGCAAACTATGGGCAAATATAAAAGGTTATGACTGACTTCCTGAAGCATTTAAAGTGTACTCTACAGGTCCTCAGACATTTTTGAAAATGGAGATCATACATAATAGAAACTTGTTAACTCTGCATATGGGTAAAACATGACACTTCAGTGAACAAAATAGGAAATGACTGGATATCAGTTATTAAAACAAAACAAAACACCCCAGGAAATGGAATAAAACTGAGCCTTTTATATATCTTATATGCAGGCACCTGAAGGCTTAAGCAATAGATCCAGAAGGTCGGTCCTTCATTTTTCTCCGGTGAAACAGAATAGAGCATTAGTAGTCAATGAACATTTGGAGAGAATAGAGGGTTGCAGGAGCAAAGAAGAACTCCTAAAGTTACAAACAACTTTAGACAAAGTTCTTTAAAAAAGTTCTTTAGGCCAGGCATGGTGGCTCATTCCTGTAATCCCAGCAGTTTGGGAGGCTGAGGCAGGTGGACCACATGAGGCCAGGAGTTCAAGGCCAGCCTGACCAACAGGGAGGAAACCTGTCTCTACTAAAAATACAAAAATTAGCCGGGTGTGGTGGTGCATGCCTGGAATCCCAGCTACTCAGGAGCCTGAGGCAGAAGAATCGCTTGAACCTGGGAGGCAGAGGTTGCAGAGAGCCAGAACATATCACTGCACTCCAGCCTGGGCGACAGAGCTAGACTCTGTTTCAAAAAAAAAAAAGAAAGTTCTTTAAACAGAGGATGGAGCAAAGCTTACCTTCTGCTGGGAGGTTCTAGGAAGAAACTGCTAGAGAAGAAAAAGGGCCTGGCTTGGCCTAGCATATCCTGGGTTAACTGGGGGACCATCAAGGATGGGGAAAGGAGAAAGTTTCCCCATCCTTGCTTTGTCACACTGGATTTGGAGGCAGTAGCATGACTACAACTGAGATTGGCTGTAACCCAGAATTGCTTATTCTCTTTCCTTGTATATCACCTACAGAATGCCATGTATATAAACAGGTGTACTTAGGTTAGGTTGTGCCTATTCGTACATGTTGGCACTAAGTCTATACATACAATATTGATATATGAGGATGCTGTAATTTACTGACATGCAGTGTACAAAGTGGTTTATGGCATGATGCCGATTTCTAGAGCTATAAGCAATATATTGATAAATTATAAATCATACAGTAATAAAGTTCCTTCTGAGAAGAAGAAGAGAGGTTTATGGGATACTGTCCAAAAGATAATAGCCCAGACTCACTTCTGGAATGGATGAGGAGTGAGGAGCTCCCCAGTGAAACAACCATAACTGGTAAAAAATTATAAAAATAAAATCATTTAAAATCTCTGAAAATTGTCTTCAGGGCACACAGCCAATGAAGAAACATTTGTGCAAGACAATTTACTAACTCTTGGGAAGAACAAAGAGAGTCACTGGCACTTGAGTCACAACCCACTGCCTTCCTCACTCCCACTCACCAGCTCAGCAGGACAGAAGCTCCACTCCAGGTAGGTGTGGTCAAGATTACAGGGCTGCCCTTCTCCCCACCTCCCAGCCAAGGGCTCTGATATCTTCCACAGAAGGCAAGCTATCAACATTTCTCATGACCCCAGCTATGTATTGCAGATGTAAAATTCTACTCAAGTACAGTTGAGAGGCCAGGGGTTCCCTTTCTGCACCAAGACCTTACCTGTAGAGCAAAAGTTCTTCTACTCCAGGTGAGGTAGACTGAGAACACTGGAGCTTAAAGCATCCATGCCCCAGCTCACCCTTAGGGCACAGGTTCCATGCTGGGAGAAGCAAGCCAAGAGATTAGAGGCTACTCCTCTGCACACTGCTCTGCTCATAAAACAGGTTTGCCACTGCATGAAAAGTGGGCTGCTGTTCCTAACCTTAGCTTCAGGCTAGTAGTTCCAAGATTTTGCCCAGGGGGAGGAGAATATCATAAGAACAGAGAACTCCGAAGCTCTCCCCAAGAGAACTGACTTTATTGAGAATAGAGTGAGGGAGAATTCAAGCCCAAGAGTGCTCTTGAAACAATGAAGATTCTGATGGTATGCAAAAGGAGGCTAGTATCTCCATGAGAGAAATAAGCTAAGTAGTAGGTCATCTCGGTGAACAATAGGAAATGACTGGATATCAGTTATTAAACAAAACAGAAAAACACTCCCCAAAACTTGAAGGTATTTGCCAGAGAGAATCAAAGAGGCAGTTAAGAACAATCTTCCTGGAGTCAGAATAAACTTCAAAGAATGGCCTCAAAATTAGTTCAGTATAGGGGACAGAATTTAATTGGAACAGACTACAGCAGTTTGTTCCCTGGGGTATTATTGGAAACAATAAAGCATTACCCCAGCAATTAGTAGAGCTTAACAGGTAGGTATGATACCAATAGAAGCAAACAGCATAACAGATCAAGGAAAGAGACAGTCAAAGGGAGTCTGTCATAGCTACTGTCATCCCAGGAGGACTATATGCATGGGAAAGGCTGCGTGCTCTGAAGAGTAACATCAGAAGCTTCACATAGGTGGTGAATAGATTTTGTTAAAATAGTCCAGGGAAGTCATTAAATGAATAAACAGGCCAACAACAATGACAAATATTGAGGACTAATATTCAGAATTGCTACAATATGCTATCTAGAAAGTCCAGTTTTCAATAAAATATTATAAGATATGCAAAGAGGCCAGACACGGTAACTCATGCCTGTAAATCCCAGCATGTTGGGAGGCTGAGGTGGGCAGATCACTTGAAGTCAGGAGTTCCAGACCAGCCTGGCCAACACGGTGAAACCCCGTTTCTACTACAAGTACCAAAAATAAAAACAATTAGTCGGGCGTGGTGGCAGGTGCCTGTAATCCCAGCTATTTGGGAGGCTGAGGCACGAGAACTGCTTGAACCTGGGATGCGGAGGTTGCAGTGAGCCAAAATTGTGCCACTGTACTCTCCAGTACAGCCTGGGCGACAGAGTGAGACTCTGTCTCCAAAAAAAAAAAAAAAAAAAATTGAAGAACTAAAGCAAACTATGCTTAAAGAACAAAAGGAAAGTATGATTACAACATTTTAACAGATATACAATATTAATAAAGAGACAGAAATTGTAAAAAAAAAATTGGGCAATGGTGGCTGGGCAGGTTTGGTGTGTGGGTTTGTGGCCCATGCTTTGCAATGCAAGTGGGTGGCCTAGCTTCTCTCCTCCCCTGCCTCCATCTGGACCACGAGTGCCAGTGCTTCAGCATTAGAGAAAGAGATTGGCCCAGAACAGTTTCCAGTCAATGAACACTATTTTGGGTTAGTCAATTTTGGGAATACCTGCAATGGGCACTTTTGGGTTAGTCAATTTGGGAAATATGTGCAATTTTGGGAATTCAGTTCTTCATGCGCTTTATTTTTGTCATCCATTTCAGGAAAAAGTTCTAGCATACAAGACAACCTAGGTAGAAGGAAAATTTTAATGTGCTCAGCAACTTTCTTCCACTGTGTAGCCACACAGAAGGAAAAGGTTGAAGTAATATCGCCCGAGAAGTTCAAAACAAGGTTACAGAAAGAAAATGAGTTTTTCTGCATGCAACAAGATACCCATGGGTTCTTAAATTACCTACTAAATACAATTGCTGATATTCTATAAGAAGAGAGAAGGCAGGATAAACAAAATGGTCACTTACCAAATGGTAATATTGATAATGAAAATAACAACAGCACACCAGACCCAATGTAGGTTCATGAAATTTTTCAGAAAACATTAACTAATGAAACCAGATGTATTACTTGTGAAACTATAAGAGCAAAGATGAAGATTTTAAAGAACTTCCTGTGATATAGAACAAAATATATCAGTTATTCACTGTTTAAGGGTTTTTAGCAACACAGAAACTCTATGAAGTGAATACAGACATTACTGTGAAGAGTGTTGTAGCAAATAGGAAGCACATAAATGAATGAAAGTTTAAAAACCACCCATGATTAGAGCTCTACATCTGAAAATATTTAAATATATGGATTAAATTCACTGATGTACGAAACTTTCTTACTAGGTAGTTTTTCGTTTAGAACTTTGTCTGTGTAACACTTCAGGGGATGCAACCAATCCAGACAGAATACACGACCTTGTTGCTATTATGATTTACTGCGGAAGTGGTCACAGGTGAGGCCATTATATTGTAATAGTTAAGAATCAAGATTTCTGCTTGTCCTTTGATGACACTGTAGAAAAAAATGAATGCACGAATTACTGAAGAATTCTATGTATTGACCTCAGATATTGCAAAGAACTCAGAGTCTGGTTACGTTCTTTTCTATTAGTCTCGGAACTGAGTGGAGACTGTGAGGAGGACATACTTTCTGCCTTATTTCTTCTCTGGTTATTTTGGAGAGAATCAAACACCAATTTTTCAAGAAATAGAAATGCAGGGAGCTCAAAAGCCACTAATACTCTTTGCACACAATGAAGCAAAGACTATGGATTTTAAAAAAAGAGAAAAGTGGAAATTCCGGATGGAAATAAATATATAATACAATGAAATAAGAAATTCACTAGAGGGGCTCAATCATAGATTTCAGTTGGCAGAATAAAGAATCAGTGAACACGATGATAGATTGATAGAGATTATGTAATGAAAGCACAGAGAAAAAAGAATGTAGTAAATAACAGAGCCTCAGAGAAATGTGGGACACCATGAAACACAGCAGCATATGCATAAGAGGGGTACCAGAAGGAGATGTGAGAAAGAAACAAAATAATATTCAAAGAAATAATGGCTGGAAACTTCCAAAATTTGATGAAAATTCACTAACTGACCTACTGAAGAAGCTCAACAAATTCCAAGTAGGATGAAGACAGAGAGAATCATACTCAGACACATCAAAGTGAAAATGTTCAAGGGAGAGAAAATCTTGAACGCAGTAAGAGAAAAATAATTTCTCACATACAAGGGAAGCTCAAAAAGATCAGTGGCTGATTTCTCATCAGAAACAATGGAGACCAGAAGGCAGAGGGATGATATAAACAAAGTGCTGACAGGAAAACAAAACCCCAAAACTTGTTACTTAAAAATTTTAATTCTGGGCTGGACGTGGTGGCTCACGCCTGTAATCCCAGCACTTTGGGAGGCAGAGGTGTGCAGATCACTGGAGGCCAGCAGTTCGAGACCAGCTTGGGCAACATAGTGAAAGCCTGTCTCTACTAAAAATACAAAAAAAATCATCTGGGCATGGTGGTGTGTGGCTGTAATATCAGCTACTCGGGAGGCTGAGGCACGAGAATCCCTTGAACCCGGGAGGTGGAGGTTGCAGTGAGCTGAGATCGCACGGCTGCACTCCAGCCTGGGCGATGGAGCCAGCTCTATCTCAAAAAAAAAAAAAAAAAAAACTGTAATCCCAGCACTTTGGGAGGCCGAGGCAGGCGGATCACGAGGTCAGGAGATCAAGACCATCCTGGCTAACACAGTGAAACCCTGTCTCTACTAAAAATACAAAAAATTAGCCGGGCGTGGTGGCGGGCACCTGTAGTCCCAGCTACTCGGGAGGCTGAGGCAGGAGAATGGCGTGAACCCGGGAGGCAGAGCTTGCAGTGAGCCGAGATCACGCCACTGCACTCCAGCCTGAATGACAGAGCAAGACTCTGTCTCAAAAAAAAAAAAAAAAAAAAAAAAAAAAAAAAAAAAAAAAAAAAAACTTCATTCTGGCCAAACTCTATTTCAAAAAGGAACGTGAAATAAGTATGTTCCAAGGAAACTGAAACTGAGAAAATTTATTGATAACACATCTACCTACATGACAAGAAGTACTAAAGAAACTTCTTCAAGAATCCAGTTGATAATCTGACATGAAGAAAACAAAAAGGGGCAGCACAAGTAAAAGTAATTATAAAAGATACAATGAATGCATATTTCGTCTCCTTCTTTCCTTAATTGATCGAAAAAGAAATTGTATAAAACAATATTGTAGGAGAAAGTACTGTGGGTCTATCACATATAGAAATATATCTGGCAAGAATAACATAAAGGAGCACAGAATAAGCATGTGACAAAATCTAACACCTCTTCATTTTAAAAATATTCAACAAACAAGAAGTAGAAGGGCACTTCCTCAACCATTAAAGGACATTTATGGAAAATCCACAGTTCATATCATACTTAATGGTGAATGAATGCATGTTTTCCCCCCAGATCAGGAACAAAAAATATCTAGTCTTGCCACTTCTATTCAACATTATACTGGAAGTTCTAGCCAAGGAAACTAGACAAGAAAATGAAATAAAAGGCACACAGATTGGGAAAGACTAAGATAGAGGTAAGACTATCTCGATTTAAGATGATATGATCTTTTTCAAAAAAATTATTGTAGGTACATAGTGGGTATATATATTTACGGGGTACATGAGATGTTTTGATACAGGCATGCAATGTGAAATAAACACATCATGGAGACTGGGGTATCCATCCCCTCTGGCATTTATCCTTTGAGATATAAACCATTACATTCTTTAAGTTTAAAATATACAATTAAATTATTATTAACTATAGTCACTCTATTATGCTATCACAATACAATAGTAGATTTTATTCCTTCTTTATAGTTTTTGTACCCATTAGCCATCCCCACCTCTCCCCCAATCCCCTACTACCCTTCCCAGCCTCTGGCAACCATAGCCTCCCAGGGAGTTGGGACTACAGACACATGCCACCATGCCTGGCTAATTTTTTTTTTTTTTTTTTTTTTTTGAGGCAAGGTTTCACTACGTTGCTCAGGCTGGTCTCGAACTCCTGGGCTCAAGTGATCCACCTGACCTTGGCTTCTCAAAGTGTTGGGATTAGAGGCATAAGCCACACTTCACCTGGCCAATTGTTTTGTTTAATTCAGCAAATGAGTGGGAGCATGCATTTGTTTGTCTTTCTGTGCCTGGCTTATTGCACTTAGCATAATGATCTCCAGTTCCATCCATGTTGTTGCAAATGATTGGATCCCTTTTTTTTTTTTATGGCTGAATGGTACTCTGTTGTGTATAGGTACCACATTTTCTTTATCCATTCATCTGCTGATGAACACTTAGCTTGCTCCCGAATCTCTAGCTACTGTAAACAGTGCTGCAACAAACTTGGGAGTGCACAGATATATCTTCAATATGCTGATTTCCTTTCTTTTGGGTATATACTCAGCAGTGAGACTGCTGGATCATATGGTAGCTCTATTTTTAGTTTTTAAAGGAACCTCCAGACTGTTGTCCATAGTGGCTGTACTAACTTGCACTCCCACCAACATTGTAGGAGGGTTCCCTTTTTTCCACATCCTAGCTAGCATTTGTTATTACCTATCTTTTGGATATAAGTCATTTTAATTGGGGTGAGAGGATATCTCATTGTAGTCTCGATTTGCATTTCTGATGATTAATGATTGAACACCCTTTCATATACCTGTTTGCTATTTGTATGTCTTCTTTTGAGAAATGTCTATTGAATCAAATCTTTTGCCCATTTTTAAATTGTATTGTTAGATTATTTTTCCTGTAAAGTTTATGAGCTCCTTACATATTCTGGTTATTAATCCTTTGTCAGATAGGTAGTTTGCAAATATTTTCTCCCATTCTGTTTGTTGTCTCTTCACTTTCTTGACTGTTTCCTTTGCTGTGCAGAGGCTTTTTAACTTAATGTGATCCCACTTGTCCATTTTTGCTTTGGCTGCCTGTGCTCATGGGGTGTTGCTCAAGAAATATTTGCCCAGATCAATATCTTAGACAGCTACTCCAATGTTTTCTTGTAGTAATTTCATAGTTTGAGGTCTTAAATGTAAGTCTTTAATGTATTTTGATTTGGTTTTTGTTTATGGTGAGAGATAGGGGTCTAGTTTCATTCTTTTGCATACGATTATTGAGTTTTCCCAGCACCAATTATTGAAAAGACTCTTTTCCCTCAGCGTATGCTTCTGGCACTTTTGTCAAAAATGAGTTCACTGTATGTGTATGGATTTGTTTCTAGGTTCTCATTCTGTTCCATTGGTCTATGTGTCTGTTTTTATGCCAGGACCATGCTGTTTTCAGTTAGTACAACTCTGTAGTATATTTGAAGTCAGGTAATGTGATTCCTCCAGTTTTGTTCTTTTGCTTAGAGCAGCTTTGGTTATTTTGGATTTTTTGTGATTCCATATACATTTTAGGATTGTTTTTTCTATTTCTGTGAAGGATGTCATTGGTATTTTGATAGGCATTACACTGATTTTATATATAAGAAAGCCAAAGGAATGTTCTAAAAATCTACAAAAATTAACAAGTTCAGCAAAATTGCAGGATACAAGATCAATATACAAAAATCAATCATTTTCTTTTGCCATTGACTCAGTGTTAAAAAAAATTGGTTATTTTCTCTAAACGGGCAATGAATAATCTGAAATGAAATAATAAAACAATTCCATCGAAAATTCTATTAAAAAATTAAAATATTTGTGAATAGATTTAACAAAGGAAGAGTGAAGTTACATTTTAAAAACTACAAAATATCAGTGAAAGAAATTAAAGACTTAAGTGAATACAAAGACATCTCATGTTCATGGATCTGAGCTCTACTATTGTTAAGATGATAAAATTCTCCAAATTGATCTACTGATTCAATGTAATCTCTATCAAACTCCCAGCTAGCTTTGTTGCTAAAATTGGTACGTTGATCTTAAAATTCACATGGAAATTGATAGAACGTAGAATAGCCCAAACACACCATTTTAAAAAACAGGAACAAAATTGGAGGACTCTTACTTCCTTATTTCAAACTTATCAAAGCTACAGTAATTAAAATAGTGTGGTACCTACAAAAAGATAGACACATACAGATCAATGGAATAGACATGACAGATAAATAAAGCATGTATTGACAAAGATGTGGAGAAACTGAAACCCTCATACACTCTTGGTAGGACTGTAAATGGTGCAGCTGTTTTGGAAAAGAGCCTGACAGTCTCTCAAATGTTAAACATAAAGTTAACATATAAGTCAGTAATTCTATGCCTAGTTATATAACAAAGAGCAATGAAAATATATATTCACATAAAAACTTGTGCACAAATATTTATAGTATTATTATTCACTATAGCTAAAAAGTAGAAACTACTCAAATATTCATCAATTGATGAATAAAATGAAATGTGGTATATTCGTAACTGAAATATTATTTGGTAATAGAAATGAAAAAATTACTGATACACGCTACAATATTGATGAACATTAAAAATACTGTACTGAGTAAAAGGAAATGAAGAGAAAATAATGAGCGGGGAAGAGCCTGGGGTTGTCACACTGAAAACATACAGTCACTAAATGGCTTAGTATTGATAAGTCAACAGAAGGTCAGTTAAGGTATGAGGAGACTGATAATTTGTATTGAGGCCTCTTTCATCTAGAAGGAGAGTCATGGCAGTGCAATGGTGAATTTGATCAGTTGCTCAGTACTTTAAACTGCTCTAGTTCTCCTTTTTTATTCTGAAATTCCTAAAGCCTGTTAAAAGGCAGGAATCTCATTCTTAAGAAATATATCTTTCCCAAGAGAATGATTTAAGTGTTTATTGTTTCTTAGATTTAAAAAAAGCAGCTTACTTTTCCATTCATTTAAAGAGTAATACATGATTTTTGGCTGGGTGCGGTGACTCACGCCTATAATCCCAGGACTTTGGGAGGCTGAGGCAGGTAGGTCACCTGAGGTCAGGCATTCGAGATCAGCCTGGCCAACGTGGTGAAACACTGTCTCTACTAAAAATACAAAAAAATTAGCTGGGCGTGGTGGTGGGCACCTGTAATCCCAGCTACTTGGGAGGCTGAGGCAGGATAATTGCTTGAGTTCAGGAGGTAGAGGTTGCAGTGAGCTAAGATCGTGCTACTGCACTCCAGCCTGGATGACACAGTGAGACTCCATCTCAAAAAAAAAAAAAAAAAAAGGTAATACATGATTTTTATAGGATTATTAGAGAATACAAATAAGTGTAAGAATGAAAACAGTCCTATTAATTAAAACCAAATAACTATTAAACTGTTGATATTTTTGCATAACTTTCTCAGACTTTTTTTCTGCTTTCATTTTTTGCAAAGCAGTGACAATACTAAATTTCGTACATTTTTAAAGAGAAAGTCCACATTTAAGCAAATTATTTGAAAACATTATGTATAATAACATCACATTATTGCATTGTAATTTGTTCATTACCATTCACTACTGTTTACCATTTAGGTTGTTTCCAAATTTAGTTATTATAAATAATGTTGTAAAGTTTCCTGTGGATAATGTTTTTCTATGCTTCCTTAGAATAGATTTTTAGAAACTGAGTTAAAGGATAATAATATCTTTTTATCCTTTATGTAGGTATGGCATACCTTGGTAGGTATCCAATGTAGGTATGGCATACATACATTGATTAGTTGTTTTCCAAGAGTTGTACTAATTATACCTACCCACAGTGTAAGAAAATACCTGTTTCTGGACATTTTCACAAACATGTCATCTTACCCTCATGAGCACTATTGTCTTACCAAATCTCTAGAACATGAATCTAAAATTCCACTCATAACCTATATTGAAAGAAGAACTCATTATAAGTTTCATAAAAGGAGAAATTGTTAATATTTGCTATAAAGGCTTTTCATAGTTTTATGAGATAAATGTACTATACATTAAATAGGAGTAAAGTTAATTTTTCTTATTCTGGAAAAGAATGAGTTTGTATCAGCTTGAGTCAAATAAAAAAACTATTTTGGCCATTTCTACTATTAGCAAGGCACTGTAATGAATGAAGCTTATAGTTTGGGAAGTTGTAAGCACAAAAGTAGTTCAATAACCATATGAGATTTAAATAAATAGTTTCAGAAAACAGCAGAAGAGTTGTTCAGGGGCTGCACACAATTATTTGTCAAAGATATAATACAGAAAAATGAAGCCTCTGGAAATTCAGATGAGAGAGATCACTGCAGGTTAGGATAAGATTTATTAATTACAGAACTTACTAAATATATAGAAAACACAGAGAAGTCTTGGTCTTTATTCAAAAGTCTTTGAACCATAAGCATCAGCCTTTAAAAAATTCTGTTTAGTGTTTATAACATTTAATCATTTCATTTTTAGATTACTGTTTTTTTTTCCTTTTTATTATTTCTACTTCAAGACTCACTTCTAACAAAGTATCCTGTGATAGATTACACTACACACATCCCTGCATTGAGTAGTTAATTGCGCCTATGGTTCACCTAGTCCGATCATCAGGGCTTTTTTCCCTTGGTATGTATTTGTTTTTGGAGCATCTATTATAATATAATGGTGAATCAATTGGTGCTAGGTTATTTTGGTTCATAGCTATGACATAGCAAAATATCTTTCTTGGATAGTAGAATATGATTCATGCTAAATAAATGTCACTATCAACACTGACAGCCCACTTTAGTCAATGCTATGAATGAATTTCCATCTTATTACTGTGAAGAAATCACTTTTTTTTTTTTTTTGAGACGGAGTCTCGCTCTGTCGCCCAGGCTGGAGTGCAGTGGCGGGATCTCAGCTCACTGCAAGCTCCGCCTCCCGGGTTCACGCCATTCTCCTGCCTCAGCCTCCCAAGTAGCTGGGACTACAGGCGCCCGCCACTACGCCCGGCTAATTTTTTGTATTTTTAGTAGAGACGGGGTTTCACCGTTTTAGCCGGGATGGTCTCGATCTCCTGACCTCGTGATCCGCCTGCCTCGGCCTCCCAAAGTGCTGGGATTACAGGCGTGAGCCACCGCGCCCGGCCAGAAATCACTTTTTTAAAGGTCTGAAGTTTATACACACACACACACACCAACATAACACACACTTTCATGGTACTTAAAAATGCCATAGTTGATGAGTTATTTGAGATGAGAAAGCATCTATAATAAACTTGAAAAGCTTCAGAATCTTGCTATCCAGAAATTCACCATTTATGCTACAGAGTGAGTGCGTCCCCCAAAGTTCATGTGTTGCAAATGTAATCCCCAAAGCAACAACGTTGAGAACTCGGAGTTTCAAGAGGGGATTAGGTTATGAGGGGTCTGCCCTCATAAATGAATTAATGTTGTTATCATAGGATGGTTTCATTATTGTGAGAGTGAGTTTGTTATAAAAGTGAGTTTGACACTCTCTTGCTTTATCTTATACACATGCTCTATTGCTCTTCTGCTTTTGGCCATTGGGATGATGTGGCAAGTAGGTCCTCACCAGATGCAGGCCCCTTGACCTTGGACTTCCCAGTCTGCAGGATCATGAGAAATACGTTTTTCTTTATAAATTATGCAATCTGTGGTATTCTGTTGTAGCAACACAAAATGGACTAAGACAATTCCCATATTCAGAAGACTGAAGGCAAAACAGGAGAGGTCCCATTACCTGAATATTCATTACCGAATCAAAAGTTCTATCAGCATAAAAAACTGACTGATACATCCGTCACTCACTAATTGGGCCCTTCTCAAATATCCTTCCCTACTCAACACTAAAGAGCCTGTTCTTACTCTTCATGACAAAAATTTTGTTGGTCAGTCTTTCTCTAATCAATGGATGGTGTAAACATATCTGTTCTTTTGGGATGCTATCTATGCCTATAAAATATGCAAATTTATGCAAAGTCAATATTGGGAAAGATGTGGGATTTCATGGAGTTAATGAAAATTATATTTGAACACTACTCACATCACAAATAAAGCCAGTAAGAGCAGTTAAAAGTGAAATAAAGAAAATAAGCAAGGATCATGATTCAATGGGTGTTTGAAAGGAGAATAATATAAACATTAATGATTGGAGACACCTTTAGGAAAACTAAAAAACCCTCTGAATATTTTTGCAAAAAAAAGAACCTCTTTAAAAACCATAATAGAAAGTTAAACAATAAGGGCAAGATGTCATATTGCATTATCATCAACTTTGTTAGAAATTACAAAAATGAAAATTAAAATGTCATTTATCCTTTGTTGCTCTTCATTATTCCCACAGTTAAAATTATAACTTGCATTTAAATAGCCTTCAGTTAAATATTTTTCATAAGTAAGTACCACTAAACTTACCACTACTATTTACCGTAAATCTTCGGTTCCTTTACCATAAGTCTTTGGTTCCTATTTCATTTAGATTCCTTGTCCTGGCTGCAATTATTCTTAGATAATAACAACAATAATAATAAAGGACAAGTCATAAAAATAATTTTGCTTCTTAAAGATGAGTACAACCAGATTAAATGAATACCTTTTTTAAAACAGAGGCAAACCTTAATTAATTATGCTCATAAACAAAGCATTCATAGTTCTGGTACAGTGTTAACAAAGAAAGCAATGTCCATCATCTGCAATCTTTGTTTATAAAATGATAGATTTTAATGCAGAGAGTGTTGGGAGTAGGGTGAGAAAGTGATTACAGCTTACCTAAATAAACAGAGGTCTGCAAAGTCTGGAAAATTAAAATCAATGAGAAGTTATGTGGGTAAGTCTGCTTGTCAGCTTGGGGATCGAAATGCAGAAGAAATATGATCATAACTCTGATGAATCTTGGCACAACATTTCTCAGCAACTAAAGTTTTTAAAAGTTATATATTAAAAGTCAAATGACACATGAATATGAAATAATAAACATATCAGATGATAAAAAGCAAGAATCATTCAGAAAGTAATAAAAATCAGTAATAGTTTCCCAAAATGGTAAGAAAATATGTTCATGTATTAAAACGGAAAAAAAGCTTTACGACAAATAATCCAGCTACTAAGTCAAACGGCAAATTTCATGTCTGTAAGAACAAACACTTTAGTCACAATAACTGTAAATTCTTTCAATTGAAATATTATTGCTAAATACTATATGGATACCTGAAAATACTAATAATAAAAAGAAGTGTTTGCTGCTATTAAAACTTATTAAAATTTTTACTAAATTATACACTATTCTGAAGAATAAGTAGAAAAAAATGAATAAAGTGATATATAAAATCACTTTAATAAAATATAAATTGTATAAAATTTAATGTATATAAAATGTAATGAATTAGAGGCCAGGCACAGTGGCTCACACCTGTAATCCCGGCACTTTGGGAGGCCAAGGTGGGTGGATGGCTTGAGCTCAGGAGTTCCAGACCAGCCTAGGCAACATGGTGACAGCTTGCCTCTATTTAAAAAAAAATGCGGTGAATTAGAGTATATGCCCCAACTAACAGTGGTGATGTGGTAATATGGGCATATTATTCTCAGATATTCTCATTATTCAGTAAAATCTGGATTTCAATGTAATATTTCCTAATTTTGAAAGATTATGTGAGGCCAGCAATACAAGCCTGTTGGCTGAATCTGGCCCATAAGCAAGAGATTTGTAAATCTAGTATTTTGCTTAAGTGTGGCTAATTTACATCTACAATAAAGAAAGTAGATGCTTCAAACAGTTTAGTCCAATTTTCTCATGTCAATTCTATTAATATCATTCTTTCTTTTAGTATGTTTACAAAATTCAACATGATAAGATCTTAATCAGCTTTCATTTCTAAATGTTTTGACATTAGGTAGGAGGCAGATGAGAAAAAAGAGGTTGTATGTGCACTGGAACTTGTGAACAAGAACAGTTACAATGTCAAAGGTATATAACTGTTATTGAGATGACTTTTTCTACTCTCTTTCAGTTATCCTGTAGTTATTCAGAATAACAGAGTGCTGTAAACTAAGCTGTCTATTTGTTTGAAGAGCAGATGGGGAAAGTAGCTGCTTTGAAATATGATTAAAATATGAGGCCTCTGTTTAGTATTTATTTTTCTTTTTAAGCTTCAGATTTGTGGCTTAAGCAACTTTAATCAAGAGAAGAAGGACCAGACAGCTGCTGTGGTCCTAGTCTGCTGCTGTGTTTCTGCATGGGGAAGGCTGTAATAACAGACAGCAAACAAATAACCAACTCTATCATTTGCCAAGGCTGTGAGGAAAAAGTCACTCATATATTGTTGGGGAGATTGCAGTGTGGGTAGACAACCTTTATGGAGAGCAACTAGCCAGTATCTATCCAAATTAAAAATATATTTACTATTTTGTATTCTGATTTTGAGTAGTTACACAAATCTATGTATATATTAAAATTGATAGAACAGTATATCAAAAGAAAGAAAAAGTCATTTTACAATCTGATAATTTAAAAACAAAAAAGAAAGAAAAAAAGCAAGTGAGCCTGGCATCAGGTTTGTAGCCATTTTTTGGTTAATAATCCCAGCATCTTAAAGGTGGCAGTACAGACAAGACCCATCCATTATCTCATCTAATTTTAAAATTACTCCATTGAGATAGGGACCAGCCCCCACTTTTGATAGAGGGTGATACCAAGGCTCCATGAGAGGGGGGTAACTTGCCCAAAGCCATGCACCGAGTCAAGGATGAAACCCAGATCAAATGCAAGTCTGCCTGCACAACACGGCCACCAGGTTTCTTCCCTGATGCCCTCATTATCTGTTGTTTTGAGGTGATTGAAACAATAGAAAATTCTTAAAAAATGCATTCACTCTTTGACTTAGTAATCATACCTTTGGAAATGTATCTTAGAGATATCCTGTGCATATACAAAATGACAATATTTAAGGTTATTTACTGTGCTGGTTTTACATCAGCAAAAGATTGAAAAAAAAAGTGTTCCTTTATTAGGGGCTGGTTAAATAAGCAATGGCATATACTTCTGATGTAATAAGATGTAACTCTAAAGAGAAATGAAGAAGCTCTCTATGTGTGGAGATTTAATCCCCCAAACTCCATTATAAATTGTTCAGTAAAAAAAGCAAGGGCAAAATAGTATATATAGTATGCTACTATTTGTGTAAGAAGAGGGAAAATACATCTGTATCTATGTTGTTATATTTGTGTTTATATAAACAAACATCAGAAGAGTACAAAAGAAACTAGTGATAACAGTGACCAGAAGTAGGTGGCAGCAGGGGCAGAACAGGGTAAAAAGCAGGATACTCAGTGTATACCTTCTAATATTGCTTTGATTTTTGAATCAAATGTGGCAAGTTAGGAAGATAGTTAAGAAAGAAAGGGGTTATAAAGCAGCTGAGTGTAGCTATGTTTGTGTGCTAACTTTTTTTCTGGGCTCCCAGAGGCAGAAATTTTACTAACCTTTGCACTGCTCTAGTAAGCATAGGCATGGTCCATTTAGAGTACTTTTGACTATATTTGCATGTGAAGGAGGAGGAGAAAACTGTATTGGGGACTTCAGTGGAGAGCACATTTCTTATGACTTAAAATAGGGCCATCGGTGAAGGATAAATGGTTTAGTTCTTAGATTTGTTTGGCATATTCCACTACAGGTATGTAATAATTTTATCTGAATAGGAAAGGAAATGCCTGCTCTACTTACCTCAGGACTAAAATTAGGCTGCCTATTTCTGCTTCGAATTGCTAAAAGCTAAATATTGTATGCTGTGACTGAAAGAGCAAAGGATTCTAATACTTTGGTCTTAGCAGTTAAAGCTGTCAAATACAAATACCAGATAATGTAGATCTACTTCACTCCCATCCCCAAAGAATCATTATTCATAAAACTCTCACTGAGAGTTTTTCCTTACTGCAAAAAGTGCAGGATGGATTGGAGAGCCAATAACTTACCAGGCTCAGGGTTACCTACTTTCCATATGACTATGTAAATATGGAAGGAAGCTGCTGTAACAAAGACATGCAATCATAGCTACATAACTAGTGATTTACAGTTTATACATTGCATTCTGAGAATACCTTATTGCATTTAATCTTTACAAACACTCTGATATGGGAGTGTTATCATCCCTGTTATATAAATGAAGAAATGGACATCCAGTAAGGTGAGGTGACTGGATAATGGAATAGGCTCTACTTGAACCTAGATCTTCTGATTTTGAGCCCAAATGATTTTTCAGTACTATACAGCTTTATATAATTGCCAATGTCTGACATAAAAATACACTGACTAGTATAGAGACAACTAATAATTGCATCTGATGGGGGGGGGCGGTTAAGTCTTAAAAGTCAGTCTATATGGAAAAAATATCCAGTAGTCAAAATTACTTTTGAGGATCATTTAAATGACCCAGAAAGTACAGAAATACAGTGTGGGGGAGGTTTAATAACCTTGATAATATTTCACTTTAAAGTACAAATTAATATATCATATATAGTAATATATATATCTAAAATTATTATGCTACATGTATTTTACAAAAGAGAATGGCTATAAGTGAATTTATACATTAAACATGTATATCATGCAACTCCACTGTACGAGTAATGGCTAACATTCATTGAGGGTTCATAATGCTATGCTAATTATATATATATATACACACACACACATTATATATATACATATTTTTTTAACCTTGAACAACATGAGTTTTTGAGATTTCATTTAATCCTTTCAAGATGTCTATGAAGCAGACATGTCATAAATACAGATGAGGAAACAAAGGTTTTGAAAAGATGAGTCATGCAGGAAGCAAATATCAACGCCAGGATTTGAATCCATCCAATTTGAGTCTGGAAGTCATGCTATGAGAACATGAATTGGTATTCTTATTCTTGTTTTGCTGTAGCATATCTATGCATTAAACAAATAAATAGAATGAATCATATATATGCCAAAGGTGATGGGTTTGACAAAGATTCATATCCTAATTTCCAAATATGTATGTGCAAACTGTTTTGACAGGATTCCTGGTCAAGATGGTACTGGCAATAGACACTTTAGAGACTTCTCTATTTAAAACAGTACTCAGCAATTACGGATAAAGTATAAGATATATTATTGAAAAAGTATAACAGAATAAAGTATAAGAGATATAGTAAAGAAAAAAATCAAGATACTGCTGTACTAAAAATAAAAGTCACTGTGTAACAGAACACAAAGTAGTACGCAAGGCTGACATTATAGAATAGTTAAGCTCCAAGTCTGGTAGCGGTTAGATGCACCAAGGGTTAATATTGCATGTTAGTGGAGATTAAAAAGAACCACCTGGCAAAAGACTTGAGCAAGTCTCAGTGCATAAAAATGGCACTAAGATGTGATTCCCCAAACTGTGAAAAGAAGCTGAAAAAAGCTTTTGGGGATAAACCATTATATAAAACCAGGAAGACAGAGGAGGGAGACAAATCCTAGTTCCTAAAACTTAAGTCAATCCACCCACTGACTCAATGATTGGGATAAACAAAAGGAGATAGAGATAGAGAGAAAAAAAAGTCACTGTCAGGATGAACCTGCAAAATGATTTCCAAAGCACTCGAGGAAAACTAAAGCTAAGAAAGTCAACAAACACAATTGAAAGATCATGAATTTTTAAAAAAATGCAAGAGGAAATATATTTACGAGCAATCAGAAAACATAAAAATAAGAGTTGAAGATTCATACAGAAGTAAAGGAAGAAATATCTTAAAAAAGAATAAGAAATTTTGAAAACAAAATTAAAAGAAAATATAAGAATTGGTGTATGCAAAAAAATGACAAAAATTCTTGGAAATTGAAATTTATTATTTGAAAAAGAAAATCCTAGTAGACAGGATATATTAGAAAAGGATATAGTAGAAAAGGCACCTAGTAAACTGGAAAACAGGATTGAGCAATTCACTGAGAATGTGATACAGAGATACAGAGAGATGAAAACTGAAACAGCGTTAAGTCATGTAGGATACAGGCCTTAACATAGAACAAATTTTAGAAATAGAATGTAGAAGGCATAGCAGATAAGAATGTTTGCACAGATAATGTCTAAGATATCCCCAGTACTAAAGATCAGTAGAATACCTTGGATTAAAAGCATCATTATCATCAAATCCAGAGAAGATAAAATCCATAAAAATATATCCACACCTCAATCCACCACAGAGCAAGGACAAAATCAAGGTTAATAAGAAGTCTTAATGCTATCAGAGGTTAGAAAAAGATGATCTGTAAAGTAACAATAGTTAAATGGTAGATTTCTTTTCTCTCAAAAGACACTGAAAGATATTAGAGTCTGATCTTCAAATTGCTGAGGGAAAAACAACTGTAGCCTAAACACTTAAAATTAGCTAAATTACCATTAAGTAGAGAGGCCAAAATAAAGATATTTTCAGAACTACAAAAACTAGTTTACCTGCTACATGTGTTTGCTGAAATAACTACTTTTCACAGCAAGAAAACAACTTTAGGCCAGGCATGGTGGCTCATGCCTGTAAACCCAGCACTTTGGGAGGCTGAGATGGGTGGATCACTTGAGTGCAGGAGTTTGAGGCCCGCCTGGGCAACATGGCAAAACCCCTCTCTACCAAAAATACAAAAATAAGCTGGGCAGGGAGCGCACACCTGAGGTCCCAGCTACTTGGGAGGCTGAGGTGGAAGGATGACTTGAGCCTGCATGATCAAGGCTGCAGTGAGCTGTGATCGTGCCACTGCACTTCAGCCTGGGTGACAGAGTGAGATACCCACCTCAAGAAAAATGAAACAAAAAGCAGAAAAAAAGAAAACTGAACATTGAGGGAAGGCAAGGGACATAAGAAGTAACTGTGAGGATGGAAATCAAACTACTGTCCCTTTTAAAATAAAATCGACAAAATACAAAGGTGAATTAAATTCTAGAAAAACCTGTAAAGAAAGGCAGCAGATAAAATGTGCATGGATTGTTTAACTAAAGGATACACTAAGCAATTTTAGACTCTGTGAGAAAAATAATATAGTCCACATATGTATTAAAATTTATGGTTAATTTTTTTTCTGTTTTTTCTTTTTGTTTTTTTTTTTTTTTTTTTGCAGTTAGTTTTTAAAAGAATAGAAATACAAATCTATAGCTTCCAAACCAGGAAACGAGAAAAAAGAAAAAAGCAGAAGCAACCAAGAGAAATATCAGTTCAACAGATGTCATGAAAGGAGGAAAAAAAGTGAAGAAAAATTAACTAAACAAAACCACAATAAAATGGTTAAAATGAGCCCAAAGCCAGGTGTGGTGGTATGTGCCTCTAGTCCCAGCTACTTGGGAGGTTGAGGCGGGAGGATCACTTGAGCCCATGGAGTTTGAGGCTGCAGTGTACTATGACTGCACCTGTGAATAGCCACTGCACTCCACCTGTCCAACACAGAGAGATACACTTCTTAAAAAAGAAAGAGTCCAAATGTGTAACTATAATAAATTAAATTAACTTCTTAAAGGAAAAGTACTATCAGAATGGAATTAGAAAAATAAATCCAGCTTTATGATGTTCAGATGAGATACATCTAGAGCTAAATGAAAATAAAGAAGAATGGAAATGATATTCTAAGCAAAAACTTGCCAAAAGAAAAGTAGCAAAGCAATACTGTGATAGTGGATTGTGGGTGTCATCTTGACTGGATGAAGGGATACTCAGACAGCTGGTAAAGCATTAATTACTCTCAATGTTTCAGTAGGCACTGTGCCTGACCTTTTTCTGCTGAAAGAGAAACTCAGATGGTTTTGCTTAATTTTTATTTTTTACAGAGACAAGGTCTTGCTTGTTGCCCAGGCTGTAGTGCAGTTGTGCAATCATAGCTCACTGCACCCTCGAACTCCTGTGCTTAAACGATCCTGCCGACTTGACCTTCCTAGTATCTAGGACTATAGGCTCATGCCACCACACCCAGATAACTTTTCTCATTTTTTAAGAAATGGGATCTCACTATGTTGCCCAGGTTGGTCTTGAACTCCTGGCCTCAAGTGATCCTCCCACCCTGCCTCCCAGTGTTGGGATTACAGGTGTGAGCTACCACACCTTGATGGCTCTGCTTTTGATTAGAATGACTAGGCTGCCCCAGTGTGTTTGTGATGGTGTTCCCAGAGGAGACTGGCATGTGAGTTGGTGGAATGAATGGAAAAGATACACCCTCAACATGGGTGGGCACCATCCAATCGCTTGGGGGACCATATGGAACAAAAAACTGCAGGAAGGGCAATTTTTCACCACTTCTCTCCTGGAGTCATGACACCCTTCTCCTGACTTGGGACTTCAGAACTCCAGGTTCTCCAACCTTTGAACTCCAGGACTGACACCAGTGGCCTACTGGGCTCTCAGGCCTTCAGCCTTAGACTGAGAATTACACTATCAGCTTCTTTGGTTCTGAGGCCTTCATACTTGGACTGAGTGAGTATTTTGGCTTTCCTGGTTCTCTAGCTTGCAGTCTATCATGGGATTTCTCTGCCTCCATAATCAAGTGAGCCAATTCCCCTAATAAATCCCTTTTCACATACCTCTAGATATATCCTACTGGTTCTGTCTCCGGAGAACCCTGACTAAAACAAATAAATTTTAAAAAATAGAATTTAGGGCAAATAAACATTAAATGAGAAAAAAGTGGCATTAAAAAAAGTATGAAGATTTTTAAAATGATGGCCTTAATATACTTAAAAACATACAAATTACCCAAAGAAATGGAAAAATCCACAGACACAGTGAGAGACTTTCACATACACATACACAACCCCATCAAAACCTGATGGATAATAAGGATAAAAATTAGTAAAAATAGATTTGAACAACACAATCAACAAGCCTCTCTATCAGCTATATATATACAACCCTGCACTAAAAAATAGAGCATTCCTTTCAAACACACACAGAACATTCATGAAAACAGATCACACACTAAACCTCAAAAATAAGCCCAAATAAGTGCCAAACAATCAGAGTCATATAAACCAGCCCTCTGATCACAATATCATAATAACAATACGAATGAACTTCAAATACATGATATTAAGTGAAAGAAGATAGAATCAAAGGCTACATATGGTGTAATTATGTTTATATGACATTCCGGAAAAAGCAAAACTACAGCGACAGAAAACAAATCATTGGTTGCCAAGGGCTGAGGTTGGGAGAGGGGTTTATTACAAAGGGACCCAAGAAAATTTTCGTGGGTGATGGAGGTTCTGTATCTTGACTATGGTGGTGGTTCAATGAATGTGTACACAAGCCAAAACTCAGAACTATACACTAAGAAGGTGATCTGACTTTATGCAAATTATATCTTAATTAACCTGATATTAAAAACAGTTCAGTTAGTTAAAACAATAAAAAGCATTTCTTCAATTCATTTATTAAATTAGAAAAACAAAGATCAAAAGCTAATCAATTATGTCCCAATCAAATAAGTGAGAAAAGAAATAAGAGTAAATATAAGAAAGAAGAAAGAGGACAATAATGATAATATAGACCAATCTCTAGCAGGACTGATGAAGAAAACAAAACGAGCACAAATAGAGGCATTATCAATGAAAAAGAGTACATAATACAGATAAAGTAGACACAAAAAACTACATTGCTTGAGTAATTATAGGTAAAGTAGAGATAAAAAACTACATTGCTTGAGGCAAAGAGTTCAAGAGACTAGCTTGGGCAACAGAGCAAGACCCTGTCTCTAAAAAATAAGTTACAGAATATTAAAAACAACTTTAGGAAATATTTGACAGCTTGGATGAACTGAACAATTTATACATATATTTATATTTGTTTGTATTATATGCATAATATATATTAGCTACATATTTAAGTTTGTGTTTTCTCTGGTAAAATTTAAATAAAGGAATTAGTTCTACGATATGCTTCCTAGTGTTACACTAAGACCAAATTTTAATGATCTATATTTTTCCTAAACTCTTAACAGGAATGTTTCCCCTATTACCCAAATATTATTCATATTTTTAGACTCAAGGCTTTGAACTTTCCATAACTTCTTACCATGTCTCACAAATGCTCTTTACTTGCCTTACCTTAATAATTATTATTCATTGAACCAGATTGCAAACTTTGCATTCTCAACTGGACTTAACATAACACTCTATAAATACTGTGGACAACTGAAAATTGCCCCTTAAGAGTGATGTTGAAGAAAGGGAGACACAATTGTTCTCCGAAGCCACAGAGCCAAAAGTACCACAACTGAGTATACCAAAATGAGAGAAAATACAAACTTTCTCTTCTCCTTTGGGTTTAATTTTTTCAAATAAGAACCAATAGAATTTTTACCCCAAATTCTGAAATCCTGATACTGGAAACATGCAGAACTGCTCTTTAAAGGCAATAAAGAAAAGTCATCATACATATAAAAACAAGAGGCACATTCTAAGGAGTCATATCAAATATTTCTTTGTGAAACAGATTTATGTCAAGAAAGAGAAAATTACTTCAAAAAAATCTCTTACATGATAACTAAAGGCAATATATAACTCTCAAGTGGAACCCAGATTGGAGAAAAAATTGCTATAAAACGACATTACTGAAATAATTGGAAAAATTTAAACATAGACTATATTAATGTTGTATCAATGTTAAATTTTCTGAATTTCACAACTATTTTAAATAATGTAAATGAATGGCCTTGTTCAGAGATACATGCTTAAGTATTTAAGTAAAAGTTCATAAGGTCTGCAATTTACTCTTAAATGGTTTAGCAAAATAAGTGATGCATGTGTATGGTGAGAGATAAACCAAATATGGCAAATGGTAATTGATTAAGTGAAAAGTGCAATAATATTAATTATAGTATGTTTACAAATATTCTATAGCTTTGACATTTTTCTAAATAAAGTTCTATTTTTATTTATTTATTTTAGATAGGGTCTTACTCTGTCACTTAGGGTGGAGTGCAGTGGCATGATCATAGCTTACTGCAGCTTTCAACTCCCAGGCTCAGGCTATTCTCCTGCCTCAGCCCCCCAAGTAGCTAGGACTATGGGCATGCACCATTACATTTGGCTAACTTTTTGTTTGTTTGTTTTTTGGTAGAGACAGGGTCTTGCTTTGGTGTCTAGGCTAGTCTCAAACTCCTGGCATCAGGTGATCCTCCTGTCTCGGACTCCCAAAGTGCTGGGAATACAGACATGAGCTACCATGCTTGGCCAACGTTAAAAAATAGTCAAAACAAAAATATAAATATCCAAGAAACATTTCAAATTAAAACATTTTTCAATAAAATATGAGAAAACTTTGAAACTATGAAAAATATAAAATCAGAAAATATTAATTTTAAATAAAAATTAACAAATTTATAACAGCAATAAATGCTGTAAGCAGCAAACAGGTGATTTTAGAAGACTGTTTTGACAAATTCTCCTAGAACTCATATTAAGATAATAAAGAAAAATGAGCCAAAAAAAAAAAGTGATTTCCAGGCTGTGATGGTTAACTTTATATGTCAACTCAGCTAGGCTATGGTGCACAGTTCCTTGCTCAAACACCAGTCTAAATGTTGCTGTGAAGGTAATTTTTAGATGTGATTAAAGTCTAAATCAGTAGACTTTAAGTAAAGCATATTACTCTCATAAAGTAGATGAGCCTCATCCAATCATTTGAAGGTATTTAGAGAAAAGAGTGAGGTCTCCTGTGAAGAAATTCTCCCTAGACTGCTTTGGGATACAAGACTTTAATATTCCCTCCTGCAGAAATTTCCAGCCTGCTGGCCTGCTCTATAGGTTAGACTTGCCCACCCCACACTCCCGTGAGATAATTCCTTAAAATAAATCCCTCTCTCTACATACATCCCACTAATTTTGTTTCTCTGGAGAACACTGATTAATAGAGAGACAAATCCAGGAGTCCAATAATAAAAATGTGAGAAGGTAAGAAGATAATGGATGGAGGGGAAGCAATAATCAAAGAAATAATACTGGGAATTTTCCTGAAATAAAGAAAAATATAAATTTTCATACTCAAAGGGCTTATTCAAATGCAGTCAAAAAAGAGACCTAGAATAACCTAGTGATGCTTATGAATTTAACGATTTTAAAAAATAAAGGAAAACAAAATCTTATATAGGTTGCATAAGAAAACATATAATCTAAAACAAAAAATAATCAGATTAACATCAGATTTCTCTCACACAACCATATGTAAGAAAAGACGCCAGGCACAGTGGCTCACGCCTGTAATCTCAACACTCTGGGAGGCCAAGGTGGGTGGATCACTTGAGGTCAACACCTGAGGAGTTCGAGACCAGTCTGGCTAACATGGTGAAACCCCGTCTCTACTAAAAATACAAAAATTAGTCAGGTGTGGTGGCATGCGCCTATAATCCCAGCTACTTGAGAGGCTGAGGCAGGAGAATTGCTTAAACCCAGAAGGCGGAGGTTGCAGTGAGCTGAGATCGTGCCATTGCACTCCAGCCTCAGCAACAAGAGCGAAACTCTGTCTCAAAAAAAAAAAAAACAAAAAAACTCAATTAATTTTTAAGTGTAAAAGGTTTTTGTAACAGAATTCTAAACCCAGCCTAGCTTTATCATTCATTTCCAAAGACACTAAGTATTTCACAGTCATGCAAGGACCCAGAAATTTTACCATCCTTCTTAAAAAATTAGGACTTTAAGAAATGCAAAATGTTTTAACTGTGAAGGAGTATTAGCAACAAAATCAGTAAAATATCGGGTTATGCCTAAGTTCAAATAACAAAATTTACATAGTGTAAAATGATAAGCAACATTAATCTAAAGTTAAAGGTCGAGATTATTTCAACAAAAAAGTGATGTGTGACCGGGGCCTGTCATGGGGTGGGGGGCTGGGGAGGGATAACATTAGGAGAAATACCTAATGTAGGTGATGGGTTGATGGGTGCAGCAAACCACCATGGCACGTCTATACCTATGTAACAAAACTGCACGTTCTGCATGTGTACCCCAGAACTTAGAGTATAATTTAAAAAAAGTGGTTTGTGTGTGTGGTGGTGTCGGGGGTGAGGATAAGAATAGTAGAAAGTAAAATTATGTTAAATGTCTCATTGTACACATGGAAAAGTATTAGACAATTTTGCTCTTGACACTGAAAGAGAAATGAAGCACTAGTAGAATAAGAATATGATAAAAAACTTCCAAATGAGAACTAGAATAAAAAAAGATTAAGAAAAACTTCCAAATGAGAACTAGAATAAAAAAAGATTAAGAAAAACTTGATGGGTATAGCAGAATAAAGGAAGAGAAAAATAAAATAGCAAAGAAGAATTATCTAGCATTGAAAAGTACAAATGATGAAAGTGGACTTCCCATATCAATAAGGGACACAGGAAAATCCAAGCACTCTCACTTTCCAGTACATGTATTGTTACTGCCCAACTAGGTTCTTCCCTGCTGCCCAAAAATGCCAATATAATGAGAACAGCAGAAGTGCTGAAGCAAAGACAGAGTTTAATTATCACAAGGCAGTCCAGTGGCAAGACAGGAGATAATTGTCAAGTCTGCCTCCAGGGAGAATTTGGTGTCTAGAGTTTTTCAAGGAGTTTGGTGGGTAGAAGGCTAGAGAATGTGGAATGCTGATTGGTTGGGTTGGGGATGAAATCACAGGGGGTTGAAGCTGTATTCTTGCACTGTTTCTATTCCTGAGGGTGGGGGTGTCACAACGTGCTGAGTCAGTTTCTTGGTAGGGGTTACTGGTCAGGGTGGTGCCAGCTCGTCCATCAGAATGCAAGGTCTGAAAAATACCCCAAACACCAGTCTTAAGTTTTAGCATAATGATGTTATATAAGGAGCAAGTGGGGAGTTACAAATCTTGTGACCTCCAGCTACATGACTCGTGAACCATAGTTTTAACTGTGTGGACAATTTGTTAATCTTACAAATGCAGTTTCAATCCCCAAGCAAAGTGGGGGTTAGCTTCAGGAAGAGACTGTTAATCATCTTTGTTTTAAAGTTAAACTGTAAACTAAATTCCTCCCATAGTTAGTGCACAGTTTGACCGATGCCCAGGAATGAGCAAAGGCATTTTGTGAGGTTGGAAGCATGATGGAGTCAGCTCTGTCAGATTTCTCTCACTGTCATAATTTTTGCAAAGGTGATTTCAATAGGAAATGAGACAATAAAGAAACAAAGAGAAATGTTTTCTAAAAAGAAGTGTAAAAAACAGCATAAAATGAGAACAAATGTGTATTTTTCTCCCAGTAACAGTGAGATCATTCTGTACTTTGTCTAGAAATACATGACTTTTAGCCCAGTCTAGGAAACAAAATGTAATTTTGTGTTGCTTATAATACTTGCACCTTAGCAATTTCTAGGCAAAGGTTAAAAGTGAAGGAAAATACACAGATACATAAAGATATATCAGGCAAATGCAAACAGAAAGCACAGACAACAAAAAGTAAAAATAGATAAATGGAATTATATCAAACTAAAAAGCACTTCTGTACAGCAAAAGAAACAATAGAGTGAAGAGACAATCTATAGAATGGAAGAAAATATATGTGAACCATACAATTAATAAGGAGTTAATATCTAAAATATATACAGAACACAAAGAACTCAACAAGAGGCAAACAAACAACTTGATTAAAAAGTGCGCAAAGGACCTGAATAGACATTTCTCAAACGAAGACATACAAATGGTGAATAGGTATATGGAAAAATGCTCAACATCACTAATCATCGAGGAAATGAAAATTAAAGCCGCAATGAAGTATCACTACACACTTGTTAGAATAGCTATTACGAAAAACAAACAAAAAAAATAAGTATTGACAAGGATGTAGAGAAATGAGAATGTTTGTACACTGTAAGTAGAAATGTTAATTAGTATAGTCATTATGGAAAACAGTATGGAAGTTCCTCAAAAAACTTAAAAACAGAACTAGTACATGATCCCACTAGTGGGTATTATCCAGAGGAAATGAAATAGTCTTTCAAAGATATATCTGCATTCCAATGATCACTGTAGCATTATACAACTAATAGCCAAGATATGGAATCAACCTCAGTGTCCATCAGCAGATGAATAGGTAAAGAAAACATGGTGTATGAACACATAAGACAATACTACTCAGCCTTAAAATGAAGGAAATCCTGTTACTTCTGAAAACATGGATGAACCTGGAGGAATTATGTTAAGTGAAATAAGCTAGGCACAGAAAGACAAATACTGCATGATCTTATTTACATGTGGAATCTAAAAAAGTCAAACTCATAGTAGTGGAGCATAGAATGTGGTTACCACAGACTGGAGGGGAGGAAGGGATGGGGCAGACGCTGGTCGATGGGTACAGAATTTCAGCTGGACAGGAGAAATAAGTTCAAGGGACCTATTGTATAATATGGCAACTGTGGTTAATACAAATGTATTTTGTATTATGACACAATGACAATTGCTGAGTAGATATTAAGTGTTCTCATCACAAAAAATGGTAAAAATGGAGGTAATGCATATGCTAACTAGCTTGATTTAGCCAATTCACAATGTATACATATTTCAAAACCATAAATATATACAATTTTTGTCAATTAAAAAAGTAGAAATAATAAAAGGCAGAGTGGAAATATCAATAGCATACCGACGGAAATTAGAGAAAAATTTATTATATAGGCAAAACAAATTATTTTAAACTGATTAAAAAGTAAAGCTCCACAATGAGGATATGTACTTTATGAACTTTTATACTAGAAATAACACAGTGCTGAAATATGAAATAAAAGCTATTTGAAACTCAAGGAGAGCACGAAAACATGGAATAATTGTCTTGGGAAAATAACTTCTTTCAAAAAGTCATTTATAAATCAAACATTCAAAAGTAAATTAAAGAATTAACCAATATAACAGATGTACCTAACCTTGTATATAACAGAGAACATAATTCTCTTCAAATGTCCACAGAATGTTTACCAAAATTGATTATATTCCGTACTACAAAGAAAACATCACTGAACTCCAAAAATTAAAAATTTTATAGTCCAGCCACTAATCATAGGGTAATAAAACTAGAAACAACTGACTAAAGATAAAGAGTATAAATAAAATTACCTAGAGCCTAAAAATCTTTCTCCAAAGAGGAAACTGAAACATCAATTACAGACTCCATATTTTAACAATAAAAATAAAGGCAGCAAAAGCTCTTAAGATGGGTCTTTGTTATGAGAGTGAGATATGAGATATGAGGCTGAGCTCATATTCCTATCTTTTCTCTCTTGAGATCTCCTTAAAATACTGGTAAATAAATACATTTTTAAAGGGAAAACAAACAATAAGGAAAAGGAATAAAGGGCTATCTGTTTGTGGAAAAGGGAATTAAAAAATTTCAGAAAGAAGGAAATCAGAAGGAGTGCTGAGTGATAAAGAGCAGTAGAGGAAGAGATGAAAGGTGAGGAGGGGGCCAACCTGCTGTAGGAATCCAAGAAAGGTAGGGCAATTGGAAACACAAAATGCAATGAACTTTAGTAGAGACCTATGAGGCTGAAAACAAAAAAAAAATTGAAAGTCAGAAGACAAAGTTGTGAGGCCAAACATGGCGGCTGACACCTGTAATGCCAGCACTTTGAAAGGCCAAGGCAGGAGGATTGCTTGAGGTCAGGAGTTTGAGACCAGCCTGGCCAACATGGTGAAACCCCATCTCTACTAAAAATACAAAAATTAGCCAGGCGTGGTGGTGCATGCCTGTAATCCCAGTTATTCGGGAGGCTGAGGCAGGAGAATCGCTTGAACCCTGGAGGCTGATGTTGCAGTGAGCCGAGATGTTGACACTGCACTCCAGTCTGGGTGACAGGGTTAGACTGTCTAAAAAAAAAAAAAAAATAGAAAGGAAGTAATGGAAGTTTCCTCTCTAAAATATTGAACACAATTTTGCTGAGAACAAGGATGGCTAGAATGAGAGGCAATGCTCTCTATCAGAAAAATCACCTTTGATATTTAGGGCTTGCAAAATATAAGGCTAATGTCATGCATACCTTATTCAAGACAAGCCAGCCAATACAGTAGTCTGTTCACACATAGAGAAATCAGAGCTTTCCTATTACTTTATTTAAAAAGTAAACAGGCATCAGACACATGAATCACATCTACCACAGTGAAGAGAAAAAGAAAGACACTGAGAAAAGGGAGAATATTTATAGAATATAAAAATAACTTTGAAAAACTTATAATACACTGCATCCATGAACAAGAGGAGGATATCTTAAAGAAAGAATAAGCATGAAATATGAAAGAGGTCTTGGAAATTAAATATATGATTGCTAAATACAATAAGTGATTTGGAAATCTAAGTTAAGAAAAAATCTTCAGTAAGTAGAATATTAGCACTGGGTGGGTAAAATATGAGAAAGTTAAGAGAGAAGATTGATTCTAAAGGGTTGACATTCAACTAAAAGGAATCCCAGAATGAGAATATGTAGGGAAATATAGAGGAAAAAATAACAGTAGATATAATAGAAGATAATTTTTAAAGATAAAAACTGGTATAAGACTTCAGACTGAAAGTCCTTGTATGCCAAGTATACTACACTAAAAAAAAAAAAAAAAAACTAAAAAAACTCACAATTAGATATATCTGTATAAAGTTTTGGACCACTAGATAAGGAGATCTTAAAGGCTTCCAGAAAGAAACAAAGTCACATATCAATTATGTGATCAACATCACTGTAGGAAATGAAATAATGTCTTAAAAGTTGTGAGAAAAATGATTTTGTACTCATGTCTAGGGAAAGCAGTTCTCAAATATAAAAGTAAAATAAAAATTTTCTAGAAATACAAGGACTTAAAAGTTTATCTCCTATGTATCCTTTAATACTTCTATTGAAGAAGAAATCTATAATAAATTACAGACTTTTTAGGATTGATCTGAGAAGAGAACTTGGAGCATTAAACCTACTTATTAAAAAAAATTAAAATATATAAACCAAGCATTGAATTCAAGAAAACTGAAAAGAAAGAAAATATGAACCTAAAGAAACAGAGAAAAATAAGAGGTGAATAAAGATAAATACAAATAAATGAAACAAAAACCAGAAAGGTAGACTTGAACAACTACAACAAAAGCTGCTCCCTTTTAAAGACAAATACAACAAATGATTCTAGTGATATTTCAATACTTTCAATGATCTTAGAGAAAGAAAGTCTTTAATTTCATTTATCAAACTAGTATAGTTTACTATAAAACATGACAATGACAAGACAAAATAAAACCTGAAAACCAATCTCACTTATTCATTCATTCATTTAATATTTACTGAGTGTCTATTCTATGCCAAGCATTGTACTAGGCATGAAAGATAAATAAAAATAAGTAAATAAAAATAGAAATCCCCACCCACCTCTATGGATATTAGATTTTAAAAATAAGCAAACCAAATACATGATGAAGTAGAGTTTAAATGGAGAATATGAAATGTCTATGTTGGGAAATTTAATAAAATATATCATTATAATAATAGGTTAAAAAAGAAAAACCAAATGACTATCACTATAAATGACTCAAGTTTTTTTATAATGTCCAATATCCACTTTTATTTAAAATACTCATAGCAAATTAGAAACTGTACATGGTACATTTATTTAACATAATTCTGTAAGAATTAGCCAACACAACCAGATAAGAACATGATATTATATATAAATAATGGCAAAGATTTAGAATTACCATTAACTACTAATGACAAAATAATCGACATGAAAAAAACTAAGCCTACCAACTAAATTAATAAAGTTCAGAAAAGATGGGCTGTTAAAAAATAAGTATACAATAAAAATAAAAACAAGGAGAGCCTCATATAAATAGAAAGATAACATAAAGTATAACAGAAAGAAAAGAGAGGGGGATGCTGTGGTTCAAGCCTGTAATCCCAGCACTTTGGGAGGCCTGGGTGGGGGGATTGCGTGAGATTAGGAATTCAAGACCAGCCTGGGGGCAGTTTAGGGAGACCAGGCTATACAAAAGGAAAAAGAAGGAAGGGAGCACTCATCCCAGCTGATTCCAGCACTTTGGAAGGCCAAGGCGGGCAGATCCCTTGAGCCTCAGAGTTCATGACCAGCCTGGGCAATATGGTGAAACTACAGCTTTACAAAAAAATACAAAAACTAGCTGGGCTTGGTGGTGCATGCCTGTGGTCTCAGCTACTCAGGAGGCCAAGGTGGGAGAATTGATTGAGCCTGGAAGGCAGAGGTCAAAGTGAGATGAGATCACACCAGTGCACTCCAGCCTGGGTGAAAAAGTGAGAACCTGTCTCAAAAAAAAAAAAAAAGAAAAAAAAGAAAAGAGAGCGAGAGAGAAAAGAAAAAAAATCGTTCACAATAGCAACTAAAAATATATAGACCTGGAATAAATAAAACAGAAGATGTATTATTAGAATCAGTGGGAATAAGATTGATTCTTCTGCAGGATAGGTAATTCATATGGAAAAAATCAAATTAGATACCTACCCCAAGTCATACATAAAACAAAACCAGGTGGATTAAAGATCTACACGTAAAAGCAAACAAACATAAAAGTTTAAAAAGTTAAAGAACACTATGTATTATTTAACAATAACATATATTTAGTAAAAATATAAAAATATCCATTCATATGAACACATTGATTTCAGAATAATGGTTACCTCTGGAGAGGGAGGCAAGGGGAAGGAATGGAGATGGGCTTTAGCTTTGTCAGTAATATATTATTTCTTTAAAAAAATGGGAGAGAAATCAGAATTAATGTGATGTGATTCGATTAAAAGTTACCAATGTCATTATTTTCTGTACTTTTTAATATGTTCAAAATATTTCATAAGGAAAAGTAAAATTAGAAAAATGTAAACATCTTTAACCCATCTGATCTTTATTTGGGCTGATGCTAAATTGTGAGATTAGTGTACTCATTTCATCCCAATTTTCACAACTCTATTAACAATTCATCCTTTCTCTGTTTTAATTTAAAATGCCACCTAAAACAAACTGTAACTTTCTCTATACCCAGATCTATTTGTCTGTTTTATTCTTTTTTTATCTGTCTACTGTGGTCTCAATGCCCCTTACAATACATTTTTAAACGGATAGATGTCAAAGCCTGCATATCTCCTCCCTCTACTCACACCCCTCATCACCTCCCAAATCAACATTAGCCTCATACCTCCTGCATGTTTTTTGTTCTTTATAGCATTCATATTAAATGTTAGAAGATCTTCAATGATTCCTGATAAAGCTTGTTTCATTCTTTGCTGTATCCCAACAGCCTCCGTAGAGTGTGACATACAGTAATCACTTAATAAGTATCTGTTCTTCTGCTTTTCTTTTAATCAACAAAATAAAACACCTGAAAACCTAGGATTCTATTTACAGACTAATGTGGAAGAAATTTGCGTTTTATTGTGTTAGTCTTACCAGTCTATTTGTTTAAATGTCTCTCAGCAAAGTTTTATAGTTTTCTTCAGATAAATTGTTTATAAGTGCCTGTTATGTTTATCCTTGTTATTCTATAGTTTTTGTTATTATTACTGGTAAGCTTTTTCTTTTTATCAATTGATTATTGATAGGGGAGTTATTATTTTATAAACTGATTTTTAGTCCAGCATATTTGCAGACATTTTCTATTAACTCTATATAGGTAATAGTAACATGCGCAAATAATAACAGTTCTGTCTTGCTAGTCAATCTTTTTATTTCTCTTCTTTCTCTTTTTATTACTGCATTGGGTAGAACTTCTAGTATAATGTTGACAAGTTTGCATGACAACAGGCAACCTTTTCTTTCATACTTTAAAGTGGCATGCTTGCTATTCTTAAAATTTTTTTCTTATTTTTTGTAAATGCTTTTTATCATATTAAGAAATTGTCCTCCTATTCCTAATGTGCCAAGAGTTTTTCTTATAATTATTGTTCAATTTTATTGAATGCTTTTAATGTATCTATTGGGATGACCATATGGTTTTTCTCCTTTAATTTGTTCAATGTTACAGATTACACTGATAGATTTTTAAAAAGAAAAACATTGAACTACTTTTGAATTCCTCAAATAAAGCCTACGTGGTCAGGAGATACCAACACAAATACTCACTTTGATTTATCAATATTTTATTTAGGGTTTCTGCATTGAAGTTTCCATGTGAGACTGTCCTATAATTTTTCTTTCTTGTATTATCTTTGCCTGATTTAGATATTAAAATCAAAAGAAAAGCTTTCCCTCTTTTCTTGAAACACTTCTCTCTCTCTCCACCCCAATCTAAGTCGCCATTTGAATTATCCTCTTAATCCTCCCATTCTTTTCAAATTTATTTAAGCATTTTTTTCTCTTTCCTGAACTTGTTCTTTGTCCCCAGCCTGCCACCTCACATACTCCCTAGAATGTAAACTCCACAAAAGTAAGCAGCTTGTCTATCTCCAGAAATGAGGTCTGTGTTAAGCATATAGCAGAGTCTCAAAAATACTCGTTGAACAAATAAAAGAAATGAAATCCTACTTTTCATCTATCAAATTTGCAACACAAAAACTTGTAATATCCATATTGCAAAATGTACATATTTATGCATATATTAATATAATGTTTTGAAAGAGTAAATTGAGGGTAACAACTGAAAGCCTTTAAAATGTGTTATATTTTGATGAGGCAAGTGCATTTCTAGCAATTTATTTTTCTGAAGTAATTCAATAATGTGAAAAGGGTATGAAAAAATAGTTTTTTATCAAAGCATTGTTTATGACAGAAAACTGTAAATAATCTAACTGTTCAATAATCTGTGATTTTTGAACAAATTATGATACATCCATGGAACAGAATAGTATGTCCTTCTAAAATTGCCATAGAAAGATGTTTAGAATACATTGTGAATTTTAAAAAGATGGTCTTACTATAATATGTACTATCATCCTACTTTGGCTAAAGAGTTCATTTCTATGTATTGAACAAAGCCTGGAAGAATATACACAAAAATGTTGCTGTTATTTTAATCAGGTACTGGAATTTTAAAAGTTTTTTATTTCTTTTCCTTTACTTGTGTTTTTCTTCCTTTAGACCATGAAACATTATGTTTTAGGTAGTAAAACATAAATTTAAAAAGAAAAGTATTTGAACACCATGCTGTTACAAATTTAATGAGAAATCTCTGGCATTGGGAAGCAATCATCGAATATGTGTGTTTGTGTGTGTGTGTGTGTGCGTGTGTCTACATGCACACATACGTGTAAATGACATCTGTTGATGGCTGCCCAGTGTCTGAACACATTCCTTATTTTGGGAAATCTCAAAAAGTCTGGGATAGTCCCTTTCCTAGTTATTTGATTATTGATCATCAGTCATGTGACCTTTGTTAACCAAACTAATGCTCCCACCCAGGACTTTGAATTTTGTGAGAGTGAGGCAGAGGTTACTCATGGAAGCTGCAGTCACACTGAAACAGCAAACTTCATTGAGTGTCCAAAGGCAGCAGAACCCAGTGGCATGTTAAAGGCTGTCCAGTGGAAACTGTATCAGCAGCAGACTTCAAAGCAGAATTTTCCTATGGTATGACATTGGCAAGGCTTTACATTTCTTCATTTCTACCAGTTTCTTAAGTCTAGTTCTCCAGCACCCCTATAGATTCTGCAGGCTCTATGATATTACCAAATATTCCTTTTCTGCTTTAGACAAAGCTGGCTTCTATTGTTTAAAACTAAGAATTCTGATTGGTACAATGCCTAGCAACTATCGTGAATCATACTGTTGCATTTCAGAAATTGCCATTATTTTTCTAGGCAGTTCAAAAGCATACTAGAAAGAGAATGCACTTTGAAGCCAGACTGATCAGGTTTGAATACCAGCTACTATAATTGCTAGTTGTGTGTGACCTTAGACAACAGACCTAACCTCTCTCAGTCTTAATTTCTTCATCTGTAAATTATTATTATTTCCTCTTCCTCTTCCTCTTCTTCTTCTTCTTCTTCTTCGACGAGGTCTCACGATGCTGCTCAGGCTGGTCTCAAACTCCTGGACTTAAGCGATTGTAGCACACAGGCCTCCCAAAGTGATGGGATTACAGGTATGAGCCATCCTACTGAGCCTGTAAACTATTTTTGATGATCCAACAATGTTAACATTTTGCATCTTTCATATTTATCTCAAATTCTTAAATTTCTTCTGGTATTTCATGGTCCACATCTACATGTGCACTTTGAGATGATGTATATATCTCCATTATCTTGAACACTACTTGTCAATACTATCAACTCTCTCTATCTCACTAGGTTATGAAACTCCTATAAATGAATGCAAATGTCTGCTTTCTCTAATACTATACATAGGTTGCTGGAGTACTGCTAGAGAAATTAGAAGTAACCCATATACAGCCAAGATGGCTTTTGGCCAGACTCATAAAACTATGTTCATATTAAAAACAAATAAAACAGGAGCCTATATGTAAAAAGCATTGAAAAATGAAAAACAACTTAAATCATTACTGAACTCTCATGAAGACACACTAATGTAGGATTTCATTGCTAATGCATAGTAAAAGATAATTAGATTCTTTTGTCTTCTCCCTTAATTGTGCAGCAGGGCAGCTGTCCCAGGATCTTATTTCACACACCCAAATCTTCCTCAAACTCTAACCTCCACCCAATATGACTTTTTCCTTCAATACATCCACTTTTCCGGTCTTTGAAGATTGATTGTATTCTCCCTAAAACTTCCTAATCTAAGTGATTCTAGCTTTATTGGCTTCTTTCAAGTTTCCTCCCTTCCCAATATATAAAACAGCACCAAAAGTTGACCCTTAATTTCAGCAGGAAACAGGGAAAAACTTATAAACTTTTAAGTATTAATAATCTGTTGTCTTCTCCCATGGCTTACAAAAAGTTTTCTCCTCTCTTCGTCTCCCTCCCTCTCTCTGCCTCCCAATGCACACACCACAACTGTGTACATTTGTGCCACGATATATTTTGATCTAAAAACTCCACTGTGTATTTAAACATGCTTAGCAATCCTACATTTCCCTGATTAGTCCTTTTCTCTATTTCTCAGCCCAGATATTTCTCCTGAGCTCAGTTCACAAATTCCACAGCCTTCTGTATATCTTCATATGAGCACCCTATGGTCATTTCAAATACAAAATTTATGGAGAATAAAAAACTCATCATCTTTTCCCCTAAATTGTCTCTTTCTTGTATTCTCCATCCAAATATCAACTTTTCACCTAGTCAATCAAACAACGCATGATTCCTGACCTTCTCCTTTGAATCACACTCAGTGTTCATGTATCAGAAAGTTGATTGTTCAATTTGCTAAATATCTCTTGCATATTTATTGCAATTAGCCTAGATCAGACTAACATCCATGCTTTCCTCTATTTGGTCTTCCCACCTCCAGATGAGTCCCACCTAAGGCTATTGCTTTTACTACAGTCAAAACAATCTATCTAAAATGCCAATGGCATTCTGTTACTTAACTGTATGGGTTCTCCAGTCTGACTGCTGAGTTTTCAATCAGGCTTAATGACCAACTGGGAGGAAGAGACAGTGTATGCCATAGTTGTTAAGCACATAGACACTACAGTCTATCTGCCTTGGTTCAAATCCCAGCATTGCCTTTTCATATACGACCTTGGTATATGACCTTGGACAAATTACTTAACCCCACAGGGCTCAATTTTTTTCCCTTCTTTCTATTTATTTATTTCCACAGGGCTCAGTTTTTTTATAAAACTGAAATGACAAAAGCATCTGTATTATAGGGTGGCTGTGAGGGTTACATGAATGAACATAAAGCTCTTGTAGAGTGAGAGCCATATAAATGTATGCTAATATTATATGGCCTTAAATAGAATGTATAGACTTTCTGTACTTCAGTCTCTTCCTCTTCTACAAATAGGAATAATACGTATGACATAATTTTTTTTTTTTACTTTAGATGATAAAAGAGATTCATGTTATATGTCATCCTCTGGTAAACATTCCTTGATCTCCCATTTCCCCAGTGCAGGAATAAATGTATAGGCACACCTTGTTTTTTTGCTCTTCACAGATATTGTGTTTTTTACAAATGGAAGGTTTGCGACAACCCTGCATTCAGCAAGTCTATGGGTGCCATTTTTTCCCACAGCATGTGCTCACTTCATGTCTCTGTGTCACATTTTGGTAATTCTTGCAATATTTCAAATTTTTTCATTATTATTGCATCTAATATAGTGATCCGTGATCAGTGACCTTGTAAGTTTCTACTGTAACTGTTTTGGGGTGCCACAACACATGTCCATATAAAAAGGCAAATTCAATCGATAAATGTTGTGTGTGTTCTGACTACCACAGAATCCGGCTGTTCCCCCATCTCTCTCCCTCTCCCCTAAGACACAACAATATTCAAATTAGGCCAAGATTACTTCAATGGCCTTTAAGTGTTCAGGTGAAAGAAAGAATCACATGTCTCAATTCAAATCAAAAGCTAGAAATAATTAAGCTTAGTAAGGAAGACATGTCAGGCTGACAGCTAGGCTTCTTCTGCTGAACAGGTAGCCAAGTTGTGAATGTAAAGGAAAAGTTATTGAAGCAAATTAAAAGTGCTACTTCAGTTAATACACAAATGATAAGAAAGCAAAACAGCCTTTTTGCTGTGAAATAGCGTTTTTGCTGATAAACAGTTTTAGTGGTCTTGGGAGAAGATCAAACCAGCCACATTTCCTTAAAATAAAGTCTAATTCAGAGCAAGGCCCTAACTCTCTTCAATTCTCTGAAGGCTGAGAGAGGTGAGGAAGCTGCAGAAGAAAAGTATGACCCTAGTAACGCAAGGTGGTTCATGAGGTTTAAGAAAAGAAGCCATCTCCACAAAAGTGCGAAGTGAAGCAGTAAGTTCTGATGGAGAAGCTGCAGCAAGTTATCTAGAAGATCTAGCTAAGATCATTGATGAACAAACAACAGATTTTCAGTGTAGTTGAAACAGCTATCTATCTATTAGAAGATGCCATTTAGGACTTTCACAGTTAGAGGAGAAGTCAATGTTCAACTTCAAAGCTTCAAAGGACCCACTGATTCTCTTGTTAGAGGCTAATGCAGTTGGTGATTTTAGGTTGAAGCCAATGGTCATTAACCATTCCAAAAATCCTAGGGCCCTTAAGAATTATGCTAAATCTACTCTGCCTGTGCTCTATAAATGGAATAACAAAGCCTAGAGGATAGCACATCTGTTTGCAGCATGATTTGCTGACTATTTTAAGCTCACCGTTGAGAGACCTACTGCTCAGAAAAAAATACTCCTTTCAAAATATTACTGCTCATTGACAGTGCACCTAGCCATCCAAGAGCTGTGATGGAGATGTACAAAGAGACGAATGTGTTTTCATGCTTGCCAAAACCATAGCTATTCTGTAGCCCACGGATCAAGTCTTTCAACTTGAAAATGCATCAATTTTAAAGTCTTTTTAATTAAGAAATACATTTTGTAAGGCTATACCTGCCATACACAGTGTTTCCTTGATGCATCTGGGCAAAGTAAATAGAAAACCTTCTGGAAAGGATTTACCATTCTAGATGCCATTAGGAATATTCATTATCTCTGACCTGGGTAGAGCAGCATCTGGTTGGTGGTGCCCATCTCATATCAGCCAGAGATACAGCAATTCCTTGTTTATCCCAGCTTGGCTTTTAGTCTGTGCCCATGCCTGGTTCACGTGTGAAAAATATGGGGGCAGGAGGGAAGAATATTCTTGATTCATGGGAAGAGGTCAAAATATCAACATTAACAAGAATTTGGAAGAAGTGAATTCCAACCCTCATGGATGACTTTAATGAGTTCAAAACTTCAGTGGAGGAAGTATCACAGATGTTGTGGAACGAGCAAGAGATCTCTAATTAGAAGTGGAGACTGCAGATGTGACTGAATTGCTGCAATGTCATGATAAAACTTGAACGGATGAGCAGTTGCTTCTTATGGCTAACAAAGTAAGTGGCTTCTGGAGGAGGAATCTACTCTTGGTGAAGATGCTGTGAACATTGTTGAAATGACAACAAAAGATTTAGAGTATTACAGAAACTTAGTAGATAAAGCAGCAGCAGGGTTTGAGAGAATTGATTCAAATTTTGAAAGTAGTTCTACTGTGGCTAAAATTCTATCAAACTGCATTTTATGCTAGAGAAATCTTACATGAAGGGAAGAGTCGACCAATGTGGCAAACTTCATTGTCTTATTTTAAAGAACTGCCACAGACAACCCAACATTCAGCAATCATTACCCTGACCAGTCAGCAGATGTCGACATTGAGGCTAAACCCCTCGCTAATAAGAAGATTATTATTTGCTGAAGGCTCAGGTGATCATTAGCTTTTTTGTTGTTGTTGTTAGTAATAAACTATTTTTAAATCAAGGTATTTACATAGCTGTGAGGGAAATGGCTGCGCTTCAGTCAGGAGCAGGCTGAGGTGGCCTTCTGGTGCAGCATGACTCAGCGGGTTTGTGGTGCAGGTGCACAGCTCTGCACATTATGCAACCACACCACGTGAGGAGCATTAGATGATGACCTATGTGAGCTCATGCTTGGCTCAAAGCCACTATTGTCTGTAAAAGGTATAATTACCCCGGTAATGCTGCACATATGGCTCACTTGCACCCAGAGAGAGAGTAAAGCCATGTCAAAACTGTCTACAATTCCTCGAGTGTTTTTCCTGCTACCTGCCACTCACCCACCAACTCCCCTTGGACCTCAGTTAGAACCTGAGAATTGGCATATCAAATAGGATCCTGAGGTAAGTGAACCTTTGGTCCCCACTGATTCTGGGTCGGCCATGTATCCACAACATGGGTTGTGATACACGGTGGCAGCTGTGCTGCTTGGATGGGCTCTGAGGGAAACATGGGCAGAGGTAGATGGGTCCCCAGCAAGCATGGAGAATATGCTGAAGCAGCTGGAAGCACAGAGCACTGAGAATGAACGAGTCTTTGCTTGCAGAGTTGGATGGGCATTTTTGACTGCACTAGAAGAACTACACTTCCAGTCTCTGAGGGATGCAGCACGTTGGTTGCAGGTGAGCGGGCAGTTGGCACAAGGGCAAGGTGACCACACCCTGATTGAGTGGCTATGGGCAGCCATACGGACTATGTGGGACGACACTGGTGAAATACCTGAAACTGTGAGTAAATGACAGTCATATGGTGATTTGGGGCAAGTCATCCGGGAGATGGGTATGCAGCAGGCTATGTTTGACCTGAATACTCAGAGGCCAGATGATGAACATTTCACTCCCACATGAGGAGTCTCGTGTTGGGTTCTGCACCCCTGAGTGCCTTTGACTCCCTAGCTGCTGTCCCCACCCTGTATGTAGGGTGACACATACATGAAGTGACCACTGCTATGGCGGCTCTCAGGGAAGCAGAAGGCCACTGGCAGGACCAAGGGGTCTGCGCCTTAAAGAAGGGGAAGATGCCCCACCCACAGGGGGGCCCCCATGGGAGAAAAGGGGGCCTCAACAAGTGACACGCTCATGGATATGGATAGATTTGATTTTGGCTGGGGTTGACCAAGAGAAAATCAATAAGCAGCCCAATGAAGTACTCTTAGCTTTGTGGAGACAGTTGTCTCTGGAGCAGCAATTCCAGAAAATGCCCAAGGGGGAGAAATACACTGCTGCGCCACCCGGTCCCACCCGGGTGCTTTACCTCAAAGACTACTTGCTGTAGCCAGGAGGACATGTAGAGCTGTTTCTGTTTCATTAGGGAACTTGCCGGGATGCCCAGTTTGGGGGGACACTGGACGATTGGAGGCCACGTGTGGAATTAGCGATCCACTGGTCCCCCACCAATGTACGGTGGGTGCAGGTGCTGGCACTGGTGGATACCGGTGCAGATTGCAGCCTTCTTTATGGGAACCTGAATAAGTTTCTGGGCAAACCTGCTTACATTGAGGGTTATGAAAGCGAGTCAGTGAAAGTGAAACCTGTATCTCTGTACCTTGGCATCCGTTGTTTGACTCCCCGTTTATATACTGTGTGTGTTTCTCCCATACCTGAATACATTCTGGGGGTGGACATTTTACATGGCTTGGCATTACAAACTACAGCCAGGGAATTCAGACTCCGAGTGCATGTGGTGTAGCTGGTGCTGCACGGACATACACATCACCAGCCTCAGGATCTGCCACAACCCTGACTGGTTACTTCCACCCATCAATACTGCTTGCCAGATGGACATACAGAGATAACTGAGACAAAAAGCTGGAAGAGGTGCAGATAGTGCGTGGCACCCATAGCCCCTACAGTTCTCCAGTGTGGCCAGTTAGAAAGCCTGATAGAAACTGGTGGATGATGGTGGACTATTGGGAACTGAAAAAAGTAACACCCTCTTTGCATGAAGCTGTATCATCAAACGTGGATTTGATGGACTGTTTGATGATGGAAGTGGGACAGTACCACTACGTAGTGGACTTAGACAATGCATTTTTCTCCATCGATATCACTCCAGAGAGCCAGGAACAGTTCGCCTTCACATGGGACAGGCAACAATGAACTTTTACAGTGTTGCTGCAGGGCTATATGCATAGTCCCACCATATGTCATGGTCTAGTTGCCACGGATTTAGCTGCCTGGCCAATGCCAGAATGGGTCCACCTATTCCATTATATTGATGATATGTTAACCTCTGATTCTCTTGCAGATTTAGAAGTGGTGGCATCCCTCTTGTGGCGACATTTGGCAGCATGCAGTTGGGCCGTCAACAAATCTAAGGTCCAAGGGCCTGCTTCATTTGTCAAATTCTTGGGAGTTATCTGGTCGGGTAAGACAAAGGCCATCCCAGAGGCTATCGTTGATGAGATTCAGGCATATCTCCAGCCCACCACAACGAAGCAGCTGCAAATTTTTGTGGGCCTCCTGGGATATTGGTGGGCATTTATGCCCCATTTAGCTCAAATGATAAAACCGTTCCATTGATTAACAAAGCAGGGAGCTACCTGGGATTGGAATGATGCAGCTGAGACTGCCTTCCTGGCAGCCAAGCGGGCTATTCAGCAGGCATAAGCCCTATGGGTAGTGGACCAGGGGCGCCTATTTGAGCTGGATGTGCATGTGACCACAGATGAACACAGATGGTTTTGTTTGGGGCCTGTGGCAGTGCACAGAGCACTTGAGAACACCGGTAGGCTTTTGGTCCCAACTATGGAAGGGAGCTGAGTTCTGTTATTCCTTGATAGAGAAACAGCTAGCAGCTATATATGCCACCCTTCAGGCTTGTGAGAGTGTGACAGGGCAGGGTGCAGTCATCGTGTGGATGACTTAGCCTATAGCAGGATGGGTGCATTCATGGGTAACGACCCCCTGAACTGGGATGGCACAGACATCCACTTTGGCAAAGTGGAGTGCCTACTTGGAGCAGTGGAGTAAGCTGAGTACAAGTACCATAGCAGCAGAGCTGCAAAAGGTCTTGGGACCTATAGTCCTAATGCAAGATAAGGTCATGGGGCCTAAGGCCATGGGGCCTGAGGCACCCCTAGACCCTGAGCCTTCAGCATTTAAGGGAGGGTGTCCCCCCATTCTCGATAGGCCATGGTACACAGATGGGTCTAGCCGAGGTGCTATAACTGCTTGGACCGCTGTTGCAGTCCAACCTAGTACTGACACCATATGGTTTGAAACCCGGTGTGGACAAAGTAGCCAATGGGCTGAACTTAGAGCAGTGTGGATGGTGATCACCAAGGAGGTGACACTGATGGTAATCTGTATCAATAGCTGGGTGGTCTACCAAGGCTTAACTTTGTGGTTAACTACCTGGAAAATACAGAAGTTGCTAGTCGGCCACCAACCCATTTGGGGTCAAGCCACGTGGCAAGACCTCTGGGAAATGGGTCATCAGAAACAGGTAACCGTTTATCATGTGTCAGGCCATATGCCTTTGGCCACCCCCGGCAATGATGAGGCAGATGCCTTGGCCAAGGTCCAATGGTTAGAGTCGGCACCTACATGAGATGTGGCCTTGTGGCTACACTGGAAATTGGGACATGCAGGGGGTAAACTGATACAACAGGTCAATACGCATTGGGGTCTGTCCCTGCCCACGCAAGACATTTGGGAGGCTTTTCAGAAATGCCTGGCATGTGCTCAGGCATGCCCTAAATGAGGCAGCTGTCCAATGTTACGCAACAAGTAACAACAGGGTGAGTGCCCTTGACCAGGTGGCAAATAGACTACATCGGGCCGCTGCCAAAGTCACAAGGGTATACGCATGTGCTAACAGATGTGGACACGGCCACAGGCCTGTTGTTCACCTACACTTGTAGGGTGGCTGACCAACAGAACACCATCCAGGCCCTGAAATACTTATGTCCCCTGTATGGTCACCCTCTGGCCGTTGAGACTGAGAGGAGAACACATTTCACTGGATGACACCTACAACACTTGGCATAACAAATGGACATAAAGTGGAGATTCCGTGTGCCATACAACCTGCAAGCTGCAGGTATGATTGGGCAATATAATGGGCTCTTGAAGAATGGGTTATACTTGCATGTCACACTCCTGTCTTTGTGGGGCTGGAGTTCCAGGCTGGACCTGGTGCTCTAAACCTCGAATGAATGGCCACGGAAAGGCAGCCTGGCCCTGGTGGAGGCTTTCTTACAACAGGCTGCCACCCCCATTCAGTTGTAGATACACACTAAGGATGACCTCCTCCAACCAGGTATGGCGATGAATGGTAACCTGTTGTTACCTGACCTAGTGCACCTGAAGGCAGGGGAATAGAAAACCTGGTTGTGGCCATGGACCCTCCAAGCACCCCATTGCCAGTGGTTGGTCATTGTAGCTCCCTGGGGGAAAGGCCTACAGTATGACTTGCATGTTACTCCTTGGGTGTTCAATACACGGCCCCCATGGTTGACTGCTCATAGGGGAATGGCCAGGGAAAGAGCCCTCCTCTGGGGGACACATGTACTGTCCGTGTGGCCTATTATGAGCTCCCCTCTGACTTTGGCACAGATACAGCACCCAAAGGAACCACGGGGAGCTGAGAAGGTGTGGTACGACTGCCCAGGGCAGAAGCCCTTGGCAGCTGCATTGTTATCCCGGGACAAAAAGTTAGCTTCTATGTTGCCTGAGGGACATGATCTACCTTTGTTAGTACTTGTGCCTGCTCTGTCGTTTTGACCGTAGGTTAACATGCTCCAACTGCATTGTGGACTGGGCCCACACCTATGCTGAGATGACCAATGTTTCCAGCTGTTGGTTCTGTACCACCCTTCCAGCAGCAGCTGTGCCTTGGCACATGCATTCAGCATCTGCAGAGAACTGGACATGGCTGGAGACTTGGGGTTCCATAACAATGCCTGGAACATGATGCAGCAAGCTTTGGACAAAGGACACTGCAAGACCCACAGCACGCCTGCCCCCTGGCTGGCCCATAGTGTTTATGATGGGTGGGGCTGGCTCGTGGGGGAACATGTAGTACCCCCAGCCCAAGCACCGCAGTGCATAGAGCAACACTGTGGTAACACCACTGTGTGGGATGGATACCCATCGCAGCCTGTGTAAACATAACACATGTCATCACACTGAACATATGGTGGAACAAGCAGTCCCACCAAGGTTGGTCCCTGATGGATTTTGTGCCCCCTTAGGAGTTTATGGGTCTGTGAGGACACAGGGTGGCCTTACCTACCAGCAGACGTTGTACCTGGGGGTGACCTTATGTACCTGCCACTGTTCTCCTCATGTTGCCCAGATGCCTGCATAAATGGGAGGTGCTATGCTCTCAGCTTCTGCGATTGTGATGAGCCCCCTGGTGGTTCTACCCCTTGACAATGACTATCCCTGGAGCAGGTGTCATAACTGTAGAAGTACAAGTTACTGTTCTTGCACAGCACACCACTCAGGTTCTGAATTCCACCTGAGTGGCACTCCTCCTGTTAACGGATGAGGTTGATTAGATCAGAAAGGTGGTGTTGCAAAACTAAATGGCCTTAAACATAGTAACTGCTGCCTAAGGAGGCACCTGTGCCCTTTTAGGAACACAATGTTTTACCTTTATCCCTAACAATCAGCAGAACATAATAGCAGCCCTGCGAGTGGGTCATGGGAGATTAAGGCAGTCAAGAGCCTTGCTGATGAACCCCTGCAGAGAGGGTGGGCATCCCTAGGCTCTGGCCTATGCTGGGCCCTAATAGTCATGAGTGGCATAGCTGGGATCCTAGTAGTGAGCTGTTCCTCTCTGTATTGTTGTTGTGAGTTATGGATTCAGGACTCTGCCCTATGGGTATGTGTTCCTGCCCAGAGGGTGCCCCTGGCCTAGAGCGTGGAAAGTAAGGGAAATGGCTGTGCTTTAGTCAGGAGTAGGCTGGGGTAGACTTCCAGCGCAGCATGACTCAGCAGGTTTGGAGTGCAGGTGCACAACCCCGCACATTTATGTAACCATGTCACGTGAGTCACATTAGGTGATCAACCACATGAGCTCGTGCTTGGCTTGGAGCCACTATTGTCTGTAAAAGGTATAATTACCCTGCTAATGCTCTACATATGGCTTGCTCATGCCCAGAGAGAGAGTAAAGCCATGTTGAAACTGTCTACAATTCCTTGAGTGTTTTTCCAGCTACCCGCCACTCACCCACTGACTCCCCTCGGACCTCAGTTAGAACCTGACAATAGCTTTTAAAGATATAATGAGATTGCATACTTAATAGACTACAGTATAGAATAAAGATAACTTTTATATGCATTGGGAAAACAAAACAAATCCTATGGTTCACTTTATTGCAACATTTGCTTCACTGGGGTGGTCTGAAACCGAACCTGCAGTATCTCTGAGGTATGCCTGTATATGCCCTCACAGCAACCAATATGTACTACATATTATAGCATTTGTCATATATAGTTACAACTGACTGCTTCTCTGTCTCCATTATCATACTTGATGTCCCTGGATTGTAAGAGCTATATATTTCCCCAGCAGTTTTCCTATTGTACATTACAGTGAAATTTTACTGTACAAATAAATGAATAACTACATATAAAGGTCTTTTTTCAATGCCTAGGAAAGAGTAGGGGGTCAATATATTTCAATTCTTTATCAATTTTCTCAGTCTGTAGTGAAGATGATGGTGTTACAATCTCCTAGTAGAGTTCCCTCTGCTTTTTATTTTGACCTTTTGCATGAAGTACCAGGCCATTAGGTGAATCTTTTTTACTTAGATCTAAGCCAATTTTTACTGCTGAGTTTCAGAACCCAAACCCCAATAATCTCCTCATAATAGGAGATTAAGTCCCGATTTCCATTTCTGGGCCTTCTTTTAAAAAGTGAACACTAGAGAAAAACGTCCATAACAATAGTTCAAGACACATTCTTCAGACACCACAATGCCATGATGATGTGGGTAAATGAGATTCTTCCAATAAACATGCTCATGGCTAGATATTTGTTAAATTTAAAATATTTTCCAGGCTGGGTGCAGTGGCTCATTGTTGCAATCTCAGCACTTTGGGAGGCTGAGGCAGGCAAATTGCTTGAGCTCAGGAGTCTGAGACTAGCCTGGCTAACATGGTGAGACCCTGTCTCTACAAAAAATACAAAAATTAGCTGGGCATCATGGTGCATGCCTGCAGTCCCAGCTATGTGGGAGGCAGAGGTAGGAAGATTACCTGAGCCTGGGAGGTCGAGGCTGCAGTGAGCCATGATTGCACCATTGCACTCCAGCCTGGGAGACAGATCCACTTAAAGATCCACTAACTTGCAGAGGTTTTCCATAAAGATACATGATATCTGGTATTTCACACCTATTCATAACTAGAATATGAGTCTGTATCTTTCAGTGTTTCTTTTTTTCCTTTTGAGACAGGATCTCACTCTTTTACCCAGGCTGGAGTGCAGTGGCATGATCTGGGTTCGCTGCAACCTTAACTTCTCCAGGATCAGGTGATCCTCGCATTTCAGTCTCCCCAGTAGCTGGGACTACAGGTGCACACCACCATGCCTGGCTATTTTTTTTGTATTTTGTAGAGAGGGTGTCTAGCTATGTTCAGGCTGGCCTTGAACTCCTGGGCTCAAGCAATCAGCCTACCTCACCCACCCAAAGTGCTGGGATTACAGGCGTGAGTCACCGTGACCAGACAGTGTTTCTTAATGAGGACACTTCAGATACTCTGGACAGCAAAAGCCTTTGTTCTATGGAACTATCCCCTGATCCACTGAAAATGTTATATTCCTGGACGCTCTTGATAGCTCTCTCTCTCCAATCACTGTGGCAGCCAACAATGCCTCTACACATTTCCAAACTGTCTCTGGCAGGAGTGAGGTGCGGGAAAACAAAATTTACCACACTTGGCTGAGAATCATTTTGAGTTGGATTATTCATGTAACTTCTAAAATGTACTCATTTATCTAATACAATTATTATTTTGCGCTGATATCTCACTCGTGATAGCAAGGCAGGGAAATTGCAAAGATTACTTCTTTCCCTCTCAAAATGACCTGTCTTTTTGGGCATACAGCAGTCAAATGTTAGAAAAGTCAACAATTGCATTAATTGTTGACCATAGGTACATTTGCTAAATGTTATCTTTTAAACATTTTTACACATACTAACATTTAACTAAATACGCAGAATTTGGAACACCTTAAAATATGAAGGAATGACTCTGAAAAATAACAACTCTTCAAGAATTATGACCAAGAGGTATTTTCAATTGAATAGGAATTACGTAAAATGTATACTATGAATAAATTTATGTTAGCCATTCTACTTTGGCTTATGAGGTACAAGTTACTGAGAACTTTATTTTTAATATCATAAATGGGTATTAAATACTTTCAAATGCTTTTTTCTCATTGTAAAACAAAATTATGAAAATGAAGACCAATCATGTTGTATTTTGATGATAAGAATGATGAGTCACAGGTAAGCCCATAATGCATGGAAATTCTTGGCTTTCTTATTATGACATTTAACTTCACTGCAACTGGAAAAAAATCAGTGAAATAAACGATTCAAATACATCAAGTAACAAGGGCTTCTGAAGTACAGTATTTCTCGAGTCGAATGGAAATGTTAACTAAGTCCTTATTTAGACTGAAAAATCTAGCCCTTTTTGTTATAAAATAATTGCTCTGGCAGACTTCTTGCACTGTTCTGAAGAGGTCAGGCACTCCTGCCTTTTGCACCCTTTTGCCCGACACCCTTTTTTATTTTAAAAGAATATTTATTAAGCGTTTTTTAGTACCTATAGCACTATACTAGGCACTCTGAATTGTGTCAGGGTAAAAAATAAAAAAAGCAAAAAACAAAAACCACATTAAAAAACCCCACTATTTTAAAAATAATTTATTTTCCAGATAGCAAAAGCTTTAAAAAGAACTAGATGAAACAGGCATGCATGCTGCAAGTGATGAAGTGGCAAAATAGGGCAGCAGAAAGAACACTAAACTTGAGTTAGAAAACTTGGGATCAGGCTCCTCCGAGTGACATTGGGCAAGGCATTTACATCTACTTTTCTTTTAAGTCCCAGCTTTCTTTTCTGTGAAATAAGAATAATAACATTTCTCTTAGAGTTGTTCTGAGAATTAACAAGCTAGCTCTCTGAATGCACCACCATAGTATAATGACTAGCACATAAAACTAGCCACTCATTAAATGTTACTTTTCCATGAAGTCCGGAAATGAAAAACAAGGTAAGATTACTATCTGGTGAAGTTTTTCATCACGTTATGTTAATTGGTCTAAATTTCATAATCTCTATGGAGAAAAAGCCCTGATCTTCAAAAGCAGAAAAGCCCTAGTTGTCTTCAATTAAACCTGTTTCTGCCAATCCATTACCCACTTTCAGTACTATTCTGTGGGGCCCAGCAAAGAAGAAGGTTCAGGGGTCCATGTGCAGGTTTGTTACACAGGTAAACTTGTGTCACAGGGATTGGTTGTACAGATTATTGCTGTCACCCAGTAGTTATTTTTTCTGATCCTCTCCCTCCTTCCAACCTCCACCCTCAAGTAGGCCCCAGTGTATGTTGTTTCCCTCTTTGTGTCCATGAGTTCTCATCATTTAGTGCCCACTTATAAGTGACAACATGTGGTATTTGGTTTTCTGTTCCTGCATTAGTTTGCTAAGGATAATGGCCTCCAGCTCCATCCATGTTCCAACAAAAGACATGATCTTGCTTGAAAAAGTTGTATCTTATGGCTATATATTAATTGTAGTAGCCAAATGAGAACATATTCTTTATTGTATTAGGAAGATGAGTGGGTCTACGAGGGTAGTTATGAGAGGTAGAGCCAAAAACAGAAGACAAGCATAATAAGAAAGTAGCGGAAAAAAAGTTAAAAGCTGAGTTTCCAACTGCGGCGCTATTTACATTTTATATAATACTTTGCTGTGGAGGGTTATCCTGTGCACTGTCGGATGTGAAGCAGCATCCCTGGCCTGCAGTCAAACCCCACCAGTAATGGCAATTGAGAATGTCTCCAGATATTGTCAAATGTTCCTTTAGGAGGCAAAATTCCCCTGGATGAGAACCACTGATTTAGATAGTAATAGAAGGCAGGAGGAAAAAGAGTGAGGTAAGTAATAATACTGCCCACAAAATTCACAATTAAAAAGAAGCACAATTTTAAAAGACTTATCAACACAAAAATGATATATATTTATATAAGTCATGTCAGGGGAAAACTATCAGTGGTAATTCTCCAGTATATAGTACAGTATCTACATGATACTATACAAGAAGAGTGAATGCAATGTAATGAACTGTGTCAAAAGTCAGAAGCTGAGAGAAGGGAATAATAAAATTGTGTGGGGGTAGAGAAAAAGATATGAAAGTGAGTAAGCTCAGGAGTAACTTTTTCAGTATGCTGATTTAAATTTTCCTTTTAATTATTTTACTTATTGTTTTTTCCAAAACAATAACTGAAGAACTCATGGCAGTGGATTTTGCCCCTTTTATGGGTAGGCAGGTGGTCAAACAGGTTGAGATGATCAGAAACAAAGGGTTATTGGAAAGCAAAGTCAGATTAAGACACAAAAAGTCTTTGCCAAATTTCCAATTTTGTCTTTTTTATACTAACTTGTAATAATTCTTTTTCAATTAGATATATTGTGAATGTCTTCACTAATTTGCAACTTGTCTTTTCATTCTTATTAAGGTGACTCTTGATGAAAAGAATATCACAATTGTAATTCAATAAAATTTAACAATATTTTCCTTAATGGGCTTTTTCATTTTCTCTCTACTCGAAAGATGTTCTCCTAAAATTTGTATAGTTTTGCTTTTCATATTTAAGTCTCTATTCCACTTAGAGTTGATATTTACATATGATATAAAGTAGGGGGTCAAATTTCATTTTCCTCTTAACGGATAATCAATGATCCCAGTATACTTATTGAAAAGTCAACCCTTATCCTAATTTTATATACCTCTTTTTTATATACCTAATTTTATATCCTCTTTTATATACCAACTTACCACCTATAGATAGATGTTTCTAAGCAATCTATTTTGTTCCACTGGTCAGTCTGTCTATCTTTTACCAGTATCACACTCTACTAATCACTAAAGCGTTATATTAACCTTCATATCTTATAAGTCTCCCTACTTTATTCTTCTTCCTCAGGAATGTCATATCATTATCTTTAATCTCATATTTCTTTATTAAACAGACATTTTATATTCTCCCTGATAATTTTTAATATATAAAATATTTATGAGTCTGCTTCTTTGGAATATAGTTTCTGACACTCATTCATGATGCCTTGGTTTTTAATTTTTGACAGTAAATTCATATTTTGGGGGAATTTTACCTGTGGAAATTTTTGGGGTCCTATATTGAAGGTAGATTTCTTCAATGAGAATTTATGTTTGCTTCTGCCAGCTACGTGGGACTACCTTAAGTTCTTGGCTTTAATTTTTGTTTTTTGTTCTGTTTTGTTTTTTGGTATCACTTATGTAGTGTGAACTTCAGTAGCAAACCCACAATACCAGCTTGATATTCAAATGATCAAAGAGATATTTCATTCCTATGCTCAATGTCAAGGTTTAAATTAACCAATTTTCCTTGCAGTGTCATGGGAAGTGATAGCTGATTTTACTAGGTACCCTTCCAATAAAGATGTAGATATTTGGACGTCCGTACTGACGGGACCTTAAGTATAGACTCTCCATCTTGGATGAGTCCACGATTTTGACAGTCTCTTGTTACTCTTTCAATAGGAGGCCATGAAAACAAAATTGTAACCCAGAATTTACCAGCTTCAGCAAGTATCCTTAAGGCTTACCTCTCTGAACACTACTTTTATGTAGGGTTTGTGTTTGTTTGTTTTAGCCTCTTAGTATTTGCCATCTTTCCAGTTCATAGCTGCATATAAACACTATTTTTATATTTCACATTGTTTTTAGTTGTTTATCATGAGATGTCAGGGTACCTAACTTCACCATACTACCAAGACATAAAGTTTAAATTTTATTTTTTTCCCCTCAGCTTTATCCTTTACATTATTTCTTTTAGAATATCTTTAATCCTTTTTCTTTCTGGTTTCAAAAATAAACAAATACTCATTTTGAAAAAAATTCAAATGGTATGGAAGTATAAAAGTGAACAGTTGTAGCCCCCATCCCACCCTCCACATAACCCCAAGGAAAAGACTGTTAATTGTTGGCTCTTATATAATATTTATAATTTTATAAATTGTTAGGCTCAGTGGACTTACCACTGTATACCACCACTCAATACGCTGTACAAGCTTAAATTTAGAATGTCCCTAGGTAGCTGTTATGTTTGTTAAAGGAACTCAATATCTGAACTGGCTTTGGGCTACTATCTTCTCTGGTTATGTGCTGAAAACCCATGGTAACTTATTTAAAGGATGGCCTGATTAAAATATTCCTCCTACCATAAAGGTTATTTGATGTGAAAAAAAGATTGCCAATGTTTGTTTTAAAGCTTGTGTATTTTATTCAAAATGGCTCAAATGTAGTTTTTGGTAAACTTTTGGAAACAAGGACAGAGGCTCTTTAAGAACTAAAATTAATTTCTGACACAGATAAGTCATACAGTCTGCAAGAAAATCTGCTGCAAAATTTATTCAAGAAACAAACTGAATAAAAAGTAATATTTATACCAACCATGGTTTCAAGAAACAGTGATAGAGACAGGAAAAGAATTAGGTGGAAGACATTTTTTTCTATATTCTAAAAAGCTGATGACAGAATGAGAGAAAAACTCTAGACAATTTAAAAAAAGCTTTACAGGAAAGGAAATGTAATTATAACTATTTGGTGTTGCAGAGAATAATATTTATATAACATCAATAAGGTAAACATTTGTCTTTGGTTTAACTAACTATATTTCAAGGATGGGATAACAAAGAGGTATTAGGTGGTAAAAGTATGCTAAGTCATCATCCGTGATAATAGACAAATGATCTATAACTTCTTTCTATAATGTCTCATATTGGTAAACCTAGAGATAGCAGTTTTAAAAAAACATTTAGAAACAGGTACCTGAACAGTAGCAAACAATTTTTTTTTTTTTTTTTTTTTTTTGAGATGGAGTCTCACTCTGTCACCCAGGCTGGAGTGCAGTGGCGCAATTTCGGCTCACTGCAACCTGTGCTCCCTGGGTTCAAGCAATTCTCCTGCCTCAGCCTCCTGAGTAGCTGGGATTATAGCTGCCTGCCATCATGCTAATTTTTGTATTTTTAGTAGACGTGGGGTTTCACCATCTTGGCTAGGCTGGTCTTGAACTCCTGACTTCATGATCCACCTGCCTCAGTCTCCCAAAGTGCTGGGATTACAGGCATGAGCCACCGTGCCCAGCTAGTAGCAAACAATTAAAAGCAGTTATCTGTAGATGAATTCCAAGGGTTGGGGCACTCAGTACTATTTAACATGTACACATAATACATGAATAAAAATTTTAAAAGGAGAAGAGAGTAAGGCCATAATAGAGAATCTAAGGTTGCATGTGCATTTTCACTCCACTCTGTGTTTTAGCACCCAAGAAAGGCAATGTAATGTTATGAGTGCTGGATTCCGATATATACAAATCCCAATTTGAATTCTGGCTCACTAACTGACTAACTTGAAAGTCCTTGGGCAAGTCAGTTAATGTTTTTTAGAGTATATTCCTTTATACAGAATCTGGAAATAATGATTCCTATCATGCAGATTTATTTTGAGGCCTAACTATAATCTATATGTAGCATAGGGCACTTAAAAATGCTCAATTAACAGCAATTTCTATCATTAATGATCATCTCTCTTCTTGCCAATAATAACTACATGAAACCTCATGTATCCTATGACTTCATTTTCATTTTGAAATCTGAATCACATACCAATCAGTTTAATATTTTCATCTATACTTTACAGCTAAGCAAAAGAGATTAAGTAAACTTGCCCAAATTCTCCTATTAGTAAGAAATTAAATTAGCAAGAAAACTGTATCCTCTTAGTTTACTTAATGTCTCATGTAAACAAACAGGAAAGCATAGAAAATAAGAAGTGATAGTCTATTCTGCTTAGTAGAATGTTTTCACCATAAACTTAGCTATAAGGTGATTAATGGTGGGAGAGTTAGAAGAAAATTTCCAAACAGAAAATAACTGTGAACCTAGGTACCAGCCCAAAGCCCAAGGTTTTCTAATACTCAAAAGATAAAAAGAAACTTAATTCTTTATACTTAAAGTAATATATAGATATATATTTTTTGAAACAGGGTCTCACTCTGTCTCCCAGGATGGAATGCAGTGGCATAATCAGAGCTCACTGCAGCCTCAGCATCCAGGGCTCAACCCATCTTCCCACTGCAGCCTCCTGAGTAGCTGGGACCACAGGCACAAGCCGGCACACACCACCACACTCAGCTAATTAAAAAAAATATTTTTGTCCTATCTCTATTAAAAATACAAAACATTAGCCAGGAATGGTGGTGGGCGCCTGTAATCTCAGCTACTCGGGAGGCTGAGGCAGGAGAATCGCTTGAACCCAGGAGGCGGAGGTTGCAGTGAGCTGAGATAGTGCCACTGCACTCCAGCCTGGGCAACAGTGCGAGACTCTGTCTTAAAAAATAAAAATAAAATTTTTGTAGAGACAGGGTCTCACTATGTTTCCCAGGCTGGTTTTGAATCCTAAGCTCAAGCCATCCTCCTGCCTCGGTCTTCCAAACTGCTGGGATTACAGGCGTGAGCCACAGTGCTTAACTTCTAAGTAAAATATTGCTAACAAGTTAGATTCAATAGTGATCATGTGCCTTCCTTAACTAACTCTGTTATTCATTTGTACGTAGGCCCTCATAATTTTGTAAAGCATGCTCTAAAATTTATCTTTTGTTTAAGATGGCAAAGGAGAACAATTACATATAATTTCCAGGAATGTAGGCTTGAATGTAGTAACTTTTTACAGTTGGTATTTGGCCTGGTTATGATTCATGGGTCATAGGAAAAAAAACCTCGCATGTCTCACTCCTGTGACAACTACTCCCTACATCTCAAGCACACTGTTTAGGACACCATTAACCATCTGTGAACCAGCTTTGAAGGGCCAGACCTGCAAATCCAGGTCCATTAAAAATGAAACAGAAAAGGTAAACTTTTTGAGGGCAGAGACTTCATCAGCCTTGTTTATTGCTGTGTCACCAGTGCCCACTACAATGCTTGGCAAATAGCACTCAGTAAATATTTGTTGAATGAATACTTTTTTAAAAAGTAAATACTAATTCCTAAGCACTTATTTGAGTTTTCAACATACAAAGACAAAATGATCAAGTACAAAGTAAAATAATGAATTAATTTTATAGCTCATGACATATTTCCTTAATTAAAAAAACTCACATAATATAGATTGAATGAAGGGCTACCTATTCAAAACAAAAATTCTGCTTCTTATACACATGCAAAGTCAATGTTATGGTTTAACTACTGTCTCATAATGTGGTACTTTTACCCACCCTTTATTAGTAAAAATAATAGTAATAGTAACTGTAACACTAATTTCTCAACTAAACTCTTATAGCCACTATAACAATATAAGCTTTACATACATTATCTCATTCACTCTTCACAACAAACTTATAAGATAGGTATTGTCACCATACTTTACAGATGAAGAAACCAGAGTTCAAAGAAATAATTTGCCTATTTTGTTCTATAAAATGGTGAAAGCCAGATAAAATCAGTTTAATTCTAAAGTACTTTGTTTTCCAGCAGAGACAGTTAACATACATACATAGGCTCACATTACATCTAGCATGCTGTCTTATCCCAGGCACTAGAGAATATTCGCCCATTCTTTCAACATTTTTGAACACCTACTATGTTCCAGGCAATATGCTAGGTTCCCTTAAAGATCACTTGTAATTCAGAAATACACATAAAAAAAGACACATAGCCAGATTTTTCTATAGAATCATAGTGCTAAGAAGTACAGTCTGAAAGTTTCTCCACTCTATACTTATCTATGTGTGATATGTGTGCTTTTGTTTGTCCTACTAAACTATATGCTTCTTTGAGGCCGGGTGATAACAGATTCATCTTCTTGGGTCCCCGAAAAAGGTCTAGCCTGGAGCGTTGGTCATAACAAGTTTTCAATATACACTGCTAAATATAAAAATATACATAAACTGAACTAATTTTCCTTGGGTAAGAAAAAATTTAAATAAAAATGTTATCTTCCAATTTTTTGTCAATTATCTTACAACTTTAAAAAAAACCCTCACACAAATGCCAAAACAAGATAGCTTTATTATTTTAAATATTTTACTTTATTGGTAAGGTTTAATATGATTGTTAAATTTTAATGGAAAATATAAAATATATTCTGATAAACAGAATAATCTACGTAAACAGGTTTGTTTGCTTTTCATATATTATAACCTTAGGTAATTTATTTTTAATAATACAGCTTTTCCCTACAATCTACATTAGCACATGTGATTGCATAGAGATAAAAAGATTCCATTTTAAAAAGTATAACAATAATTTTTCTATATTTCTCAGAGCTACTATTATGATTACAGAAATACATAAACAATTGATTCTGTAAGAATTCTATATAAAAAAAGAAATCACGTCCTGACAGGACTGACACTATACTTTGCTTCTTAGTCTAGATAAAAATAAAATCAATTTGAAAGGACAGATTTTAATCTCAGATGTTACTGAGCAGTTTTTTTTTTTTGGTGGAAAAAAGATATGTAGCAATTCATGCTATGCATTAGAGATCAGAATCTGGCCCTAAGTTTACGTGATTGATGGGCTTCTATTTGAAAAGGCATAAATGTGAATGGCAACTGTAATAATGCTTACAGAGAGAGTTAATGCAACCTCAACCAGTTTCCCCTGTTGTCTTCAGCATAACATTACTTCCACTATAGCAAAACGTTTTTGAAACCCACACATAAAATCCTATGCACTGCTTAAAAATAACACAAAACAATCTATACATACACACATTCAAAATATGATTCTAATAGGCAGGACAGACACGTTAACTACTCATTGCAGAGACCATTCAATAAGCAGTTTTTAAAATTACATGTTTAGCAAGGGTACAAATCACTCACTTTTTAGTCATAAGGAAACTCTGACAATAGAATAGCTCATTATATAGTGGTAGTTTTTTAATACATTCTTCACTGATCACATACACACATATTTATTTCACTGGGCCTGGTTTCTCACTGGAAATTCCATCTGACTCTAAAATCAGAAACTTCCTTAGACTCATTCTTCTTTGATAGAAAAGAAATACTGCAGTAATATCTTCTGGCGACCTAACAGTGGGCTGGCTTTAAGTGTACCCAGAAGAGAAAAAGGACACAGCCCAGAACACTGGCCATGCAGTAATGCCCTACTTATTTTTCTATATTTCCTCAGAATTGCAGTTAATTCTTCTTGATGTGATAATATGGAAATGAATATATATATATATGTGTGTGTAATATAGAAATGAACCTCTGGCAGGCATAAACTTACCTTACATATTTAATATAATTAAACTGTACTTCTGGTATCTAGTAGTAAGGTCTTAAGTGATTCATCCCATATAGTAATATTTGACCTTCCAACCTTATAGAATAATTATGGTAATAAAGGGAAGTAGTATTTACAAGTGTCAACTTCTAGGTTATGTGTCACATGCTTTACGTATATTTTCACATTTAATATTCTAAAGCAACTCTGAGATACATATGATCATTTCCACTTTACATACAGGAACACTGAAGATCAGAAATTTGGAGTAACACAGTAATAAACAGCAGAACCAGGAATCCAACCTAGGTCAAAGTGACTACACTAATGATGAAATGAAATAATAAAGCAAACAGGTAAATATGAAAGTAAAAAGACCCAGTAATTCCAATTCAAGTAATTAATCAATAACTTAAATCACACTGACTCTCTCACTGACAACAACTGTAAATGGTGAAAAAATACTAAAGCCAATAAGCAAAACACAATTATTTGAAGACATGTTAGAGAGTGACCAAATGAAGGCAGAAATAGAAAGAGTGAGGATTTGACCCTTGAAAGAAGATAACATCACTGGGCAACATATAATTCTACGTTTATATGGCTCTCCTGAGGTACAATGGTATATGAGCAAGTAGAACTTAAGCAGAAAGCCACAGTCTTACTTGCTTGAAGTATCAGAGGCCAGAATTCAGGGTTGAGAGAATGGCTGAAAATCGAGGGTCAGGGAGGGGGGGCCCAGAAAGGAAGAAAATACAAAGCAGGAGTTACAATATTTGTATATTGATTCCGACCTAGGCTGGCACCTAAACTGTACATGCATGGGGAAGACTCCAAAAAACCCAGTGGAAAGTAACAGCTGGAAAGCAAAAATAAGGATTTCTTCTACTGCTCATTACATGAGACAAAGAGTTTCGAGTTTGAACCCCATCAAATAAAAGCAGATTAGTAACACCTCAGGCTTTCCACAGAAATCCATAAAGGACCACGTTTTAGGAGTAAATATTATATCCCTATACTAAGGAAGTCACCTAAGGATTAAGAACAAAACCAAAATAGATCCACTCTCTAACAAAACATCAAACCAAGCCTTCACTAGATAAATGTGAGCAGCTACTGATTTAACTGTTAGAAAAAAGGTCAATACTCTTCAGAAGAAGATAACAGAATCTAGAGTCTCTACAGTGTGTCATCTATATCTAACATACAGTAAAAAATTTCTTAGAAATGTAAAGAAACAGAAAAATATAAACCAAAGTCCACAGAAAGAGCAGCCAATAGAACAGACTCTGAGATGATTCATACATGTACCTTATGGCAGCTATTACCGAGAACATAAAGAAAAAGATCATCATAATAAATGCCCAAATAGCATTTCAGCAGAGAAATAAAACCAATAAAAAAGAACCAAGTATACCTAAAAATGGATAAAATTTTATATTATATATATTTTACCATAACAAATATTTTTCAAAAGCATCACATGCAAATTATGAAACTAAAAAGTATAGTATCAAAATGAAAAATTCACTGGATAGGCTTAACAGCACATTGGATATGGCAGAGAAACCAGCCAGTGAACCTGAAGAAACAGAAATTTCTAAAGAATAGTTAGTTCTATGTAAGTTTTATTACATGAAATATCTGTGACAATTGCCTGAATACTATATGGGACATGACCAAAAAGAAGATATATACTAAAAATGTAGTAATGATTAGAAAGAGTCTTCACTAGAATGAGCTTTACTAGAATAAGCAGTTGAATTAATGTTAACAATTCATAATGAGGTTGGGTGCAGTGGCTCATGCCTATAATCCCAGCACTTTGGGTGGCTGAAACAGGAGGATTGCTTGAACCCAGGCATTCGAGACCAGCCTGGGCAACATGGCAAGACCCCATTTCTTTTTTTTTTTTCTTTAATTATACTTTAAGTTCTAGGGTACATGTGCACAACATGGAGGTTTGTTACATATGTATACATGTGCCATGTTGGTGTGCTGCACCCATTAACTCATCATTTACATTAGGTATATCTCCTAATGCTATCCCTTCCCCCTCCCCCTGCCTCACGACAGGCCCCAGTGTGTGGTGTTCCCCACCCTGTGTCCAAGCGTTCTCATTGTTCAATTCCCACCTGTGAGTGAGAACATGCAGTGTTTGGTTTTCTGTCCTCGCGATAGTTTGCTCAGAATAATGGTTTCCAGCTTCATCTATGTCCCTATAAAGGACATGAACTCATCCTTTTTTAATGGCTGCATAGGATTCCATGGTGTATATGTGCCACATTTTCTTAATCCAGTCTATCACTGATGGACATTTGAGTTGGTTCCAAGTCTTTGCTATTGTGAATAGTGCCGCAATAAACATATGTGTGCATGTGTCTTTATAGCAGCATGATTTATAATCCTTTGGGTATATACCCAGTAATGGGATGGCTGGGCAAGACCCCGTTTCTACAAAAAATCGAAAAATTAGCTGGGCATGGTGGTGTGCAGCTGTGGTCCTAGTTATTCAGGAGGCTGATGTGGGAGGATCAGGAGGTTAAGGCTGCACTGAGCCACGTTCATGCCACTGCACTCCAGCCTGGGCTACAATGCAAGACCCTATCTCAATATATGTGTGTGTGTGTGTGTGTGTGTGTGTGTGTGTAAGTAAATAAAATAAACTTGTTCATTTTGAAATGTCAATAATTTTTCTTAATTTCTTACCCATAATATAACCCATAAACATTATCAATAAACGTTACTCATAAATGTCAACAATTTTTCTTAATTTCTTACCCATAATAATAAAAGGTGGCCCTGGTTTAAACAAATATGGAAAAGGAAATCTTACCTAAGTTCATTTACAAAATATAACTATAAGTATGATTATAAATATAAATGCTATACCATCTCTAAAGTCGTAGGGCATTTCATTTGTTGATGCATGTAGTATGTATCCTGTGATCTTGAATCTGTAAACCTATTGTTTGAACTCTGATGTCAAGTAAACAAAGCAAGCAAAATGATAGCTATTGCTTTAAATTTTAACAAATAAAGCTAGAGAGTAGATAGGAAAATGAATGATCAAGGAACTGTCGATGTCCAAGAAATGGTGGTGTCAGATATCACTAGGCAAAACATGTAGATCTAGTCATAGATCATGTCTTATCACAAGTGAAATAACATCTTTTCAGAGGCTGAACAGAAGAAATTTGTTTTCAAAATTCATTTTTCTTTTCTAATTCTATTCTCAGTTATATATATATACAGACACCCACACATATATACACACACATATATACACACTCATACACACACACGTGTGTGTGTGTATATAATATATATATATATATATGATAGAGTTATGGGTTGAATTATGTTTCTCCAAAAATATGTTCAAGTCCTAACCTCTAGTACCTATGAATGTGAACTTATTTGGAAATATAGTCTTTATAGATGTAATTAAGATGAGGTCGTACTGAATTAGGGTAGGCCCTAATCCAATCCTTATAAGAAGAGCAGAAGAGAAACAGACACACAGGGAGAATGCCATGTGATGATGAACGCAAAGATTGAAGTAATATGTCTACAAGCCATGGAATGCCAAAAATTGCTGGCAACGCCACAGCCAAGCAAAAGGAACAAATTCTCCCCACCAGGCTTCAAAAAGCAAGGCTCTGCCAACAACTTAGTTTTGGACTTCTAGCCTCCAGAACTGTGAGAGAATAAACTTTCGTTATTTTAAGCTACACAATTTATGGTAATTTGTTATAGCAGACCTAGAAAACTAATATTAATAGAACAAAATTATCTGTTTCTTTTTATTTTTCTAGTGGAAGTATTGAATCCATTTTTCAGACCAAATAAACATCTGATCGATATATACATAAAAGAGATTTAATCCCAAGAAGATTCCTCAAATCACTCTGTCCTATAAATGGAATATTTCTCTAAATAATAGTGGTTGACTTCAGTTAAAATTTTAGAACAGTCCATGCATACCCTACATTTTTAAACAAAATTTGGAATGTACATAGTTTCTATGAGACTCAGATTAATAACCATTGGTATAATGTTTTCTAATGTGGTTTCTGGATAAATCACATTTTCATATTTTTAAACATGAACTCTAAACTGCTTGTTTGGACACTTCAATGTGAACAAAATTTAGCAGCAGTAAAACAGAAACAATGATGTAAAACAAGTTTGGCATAAATAGAATGAGCAAATTCATTGTTCTTTTTTAAGAATTGAGCTTGCTATGAAGAAACCTGTTTTCAATTATTTTGCAGAGTGGGATAACTATGTCATCTGTTTATTGAATTACATGTTAGGCAGTGCTAAGAACCTAAGCTTATTACTTATATTATCTATTCCATTTAATCCTCACAGTTATATTATTATTAGCACTCAAATTTTAAAGATATACAAATTGGGGGTGAAAAAAATCAACAATTTGCCCATGGTCACACAGCTGGTAGAATGCACGGTTGTGGTTAATAAATCAGCCTTAATCAGTTCTGTGAATTTGAGTTCTTAAATGTAGGCATACCTCATTTTCTTGTGCTTTGTTTTATTGTACTTGGCAAATTGAAGTTTTGTGACAACTCTGCACTGAGCAAGTCCATCGGTGCCGTTTTCACACACAGCATGTGCTCACTTCATGACTCTGAGTCACATTTTGATAACTGTCACAATATTTCAAACTTTTTCATTATAATATCTGTTATGGTGATCTGTAATCAGTGATCTTTGATGTTTCTCCTGTAATTGTTTTGGGGTGCCACGAACTGCCTGAACATAAGAGAGCACACTTAACTGATAAATGTGTGTTCTGAATACTCCAATGCCTGGCTGTTTCCCCGTCTCTCTCCCTCTCCTTGGGCCTCCCAATCCCCGAAAATACAATATTGTAATTAGGCTAAGTAATAACCTATAATTGCCTCTAAGTGTTCACATGAAAGGAAGAGTCACATGTCTCTCAGTTCAAATCAAAGGCTAGAAATAATGAAGCACTGTAAGGAAGACATGTCAAAAGCCAAGACAAGCTGAAAGCCAGGCATCTTGCGCCCAACAGTTAGCCAAATTGTGAATGCAAAGGAAAAGCTCTTGAAGCAAATTAAAAGTGCTACTATGGTGAATACATGAATGATAAGAAAGAAAAACAGCCTTGTTGCTGATACAGACAAACTTTTAGTGGCATGGATAGAAGATCAAACTGACTACAACATTTATTTAAGCCAAAGCTGAATCCAGAGAAAGGCCCTAACTCTCTTCAGTTCTATGAAGGCTGAGAGAGGTGAGGAAGCTGCAGAAGAAAAGTTTGACACTAGCAGAGCAAGTTGATTCATGAGGTTTAAGGAAAGAAGTTGTCTACACAACATAGAAGTACAAAGTGAAGCAGGAAGTAGTGATGGAGAAGCTGCAGCAAGTGATCTAGAAGCTCTAGCTAAAATCATTGATGAAGGTGACTATGCTAAACACCAGATTTTCAGTGTAGATACAACAGCCTTCAATTGGAAGAAGATGCCACCTGGGATTTTCGTAACTAGAAGAAAAGTCAATGTCCCACTTCAAAGCTTCAAAGGAACCACTGATTCTCTTTTTAGAGACTAATGCAGTTGGTGACTTTAGGTTCAAGCCAATGCTCATTTACCATTCAAATAATCCCAGGGCCCTTAAGAATTATGCTAAATCTACTCTGCCTGTGCTCTATAAATGAAACAACAAAGCCTAGAGGACAGCATATCTGTTTGCAGCATGATTCGCTGACTATTTTACGTTTGCTGTTGAGACCTACTGCCCAGAAAAAAAATACTCCTTTGGAAAAATTATACTCACTTATAGTATACCTAGTCATCCAAGAGCTGTGATGAAGATATACAAGGAGATTCATGCTGTTCTCATGCTTGTCAACATAACATTCCTTCTGTAGTCCATGGATCAACTCTTCTAACTTGAAAAGTCCATCGACTTTCAAGTCTACTTAAGAAATGTATTTTTTAAGGCTGTATCTGCCTTACAAATAGTATCTGCCTTACAAATACAAATAGTGAATCCTCTGACCAATCTGGGCAAAGTAAATTGAAAACCAATTTACTTTGTCAAGTCAAGTCAATTGATGTGGCAATATTCCTTGCTGTCTTATTTCAATATATCGCCACAGCCATCCCAATCTTCAGCCATAATAAAGGGTCTTGCCTGGATGTTAGCAACCATCAACATCCAGGTAAGACCTTTCACTATCAAAAGGAGGCCAGTATGGTGGCTTATACCTGTAATCCCAGCACTTTGGGAGGCTGAGGCAGGCAGATCGCTTGAGCCCAGGAGTTCAAGACCAGCCTGGGCAACATGGCAAAACCCTGTCTCTACAAAAAATATAAAAATTAGCCTGGTGTGATAGCGCATGCCTGTATTCCCAGCTATTCGGGAGGCTGAGGTGGGAGAATCACTTGAGTCCAGGAAGTCAAGGCAGCAGTGAGCCATGATTGCACCACTGGACTCCAGCCTGGAAGAGAGAGTAAGAGCCTGTCCCCGCCACCCCCCAAAACACTCCCCCTTTTTTAGAAAACTATTTTAAAATTAAGGCATGTGCATTGTTTTTTAAAGACATGATGCAATTACACACTGAATAGATTACAGTATAGTGCAAAGATACCTTGTATATGCACTGGGAAAAAAATGTATGGCTTGCTTTATTGTGGTAGTCTGGAACCAAACCTGCAATATCTCTGAGGTATGCCTGTAGCATTCTTATAAATCATACCTGCTACGTTCAACTGCCTTTCTAACCTCTAAAAGTTTTTGCCAGTATAACTTTCCCTAAAAATGTGGAAAATAAATGAAATAGCACTTTGGATTAGAATTATAAATATCTGTGGCTTATTAATTACATGGTCACAAATAGAATGAAATTAATAAAAAACAAAGGGCTTGATTCTTAATAAGTTAAAGCTATATACCATTGATACAGTCTGATGGTTAAAGAATAACTGAAGCTCAAAATAATATATGTGTGGATGAGTTAGGAAAGGAAATGTAAGAAAAAGAAATTTGATAGTATAGTCAGTCTTCTGTATTCACAAGTTTTGCATCTAAAAATTCAAGCAAGCTTGGATCAAATACATTCAGAAAAAAGACAATACAAATAACATGACAACAATAAAAAATAATCAGAATAAAAAATATAACAGCTATTTACCTAGAATTTAGGTTGTATTAGGTAGTATAAGTAATATAGAGATGATTTAAAGTATAAGGAGCATAGGTGTGAGTTATATGCAAAAACTGCACTATTTCATATAAGGGACTTGAACATTCCTGGATTTTGGTATTCATAGGGGGTTCTGGAGTCAATCCCTTGCAGATACCAAGGGAGAAACGTAGACTACTTATGAGGAAGCATGGTTTATGAGAATATTTCTACTAATTAAACAATGATCAATTTTTAGTAGTTTTTAAAAATAGTTAAGTGGATTATACCAAACTAAGAAAATATTTAAATAATATTTAAAATGCAATTCCAGGAAAATAAGTTTTAGAAACAGTTAATAAAAGTGCATAAAGGGTTATAAGAAAGAATTTTCTGCTTCTGAGAGCTGTTATACTAAATTGGCTTGCTGAAGGAAGCAGTGGAATCTATTTCTTTGAAGATCCTTAGAAATAGAAGGCATACATTATCAGCAGTTCAGAAAGGTTTAGGTGTGTCTCTGCCAGAAAACAGCCAGTGGATATAACCACTTCATGGTTCCATAAACTCTGTTGACTGCATAATAATACTATTGTTATAATTGTGAGGCAAAGGCAACACAGCTGCTTTTTCTTTGGTGATCAGGATTTGCTGTCCAAAAAGTTGCAGAATAAATTGAATGTAATTAGATGAAATTTTCCCCAACAGAAAAGCAAGAATTAATTTTGACTCTAGTTACTGAAAGAAAACTCAGAATCTCTACACTGGGCTTTTTAAACATTTATCATTGTCTTTATTTATAGAAAGCATTCCTCTTATGTGAAACTTAAAAAGCAGACACGTTTTCATGGATGACCTCAGGCTGATGAGTTGAATTAACACTAAATAAAAAATTCTAAGCATATATATATAGTTTCTTTGTATGAAATCCCTTGAAAGATTACATTTCAGTGAATTCTACTTAAAATTTTAAAAGTGTATATTTTTATTTTGTTTTATTTTCATCTACTTAAGTCTATATTTTTCATGAATGTAGAAAAAAAGCCAGATTCCTTATACACTTAAAAATATATATGGTCAATTTCTTTCCAAGCAAGCTTTTCTTTTAAAGGTAATGTAATCAATTTGAAATTTGAAGGTGGCATTGTGGTCCACAATCCTTGCCCAGATGCTCTTTGGGAGCAATAGGAGCTGTCATGGAATTAACTAAAAGTTCAATGAAATATTTTGATGCAGAATTTTCACAAAATGTAAAGCTGTGAGAGTTTTAAAGGGATAGCTTTCCAAGATTTTGGAGCACTGTAGATTAGTTGTTAAAGAAAAGGGAGGAAAAATGCTGGGCTACCTTTAACTATATAAAACTCATAAATAGTATGACTAACTCTAAAATAAATAGAAAATAATTCTGATTTCCAATTTTATTTAGTATTTACAGTTATATATGTGTCCAAGAGAGATATGAAAAAGCCCTGCTTTCAAATATAGGTACTTAATTTTGGTTATTTAAATCCTTGTTCTGTATTTCAGGATTTAAGATAGCCTTATTCTATCTGTTACTCTAGAGGTAAGGGCAAATGCATCTTAATGTAATTTTTGACATGCTATAGTGTTAAAAGAGGAAAAAAAGAAAATAAAGAAAAAGACATGCATACATAAATTCCTACAGGAAATAATACTTTTCATTTTAAATTAAAACCCAATATAATTCTACTTGTGTCTACATGATTAATAACAGAAAACTCATAGTAGAAATATTTCATTGCTTGCCTCCAAAAAATTGTTGACATCCTCTGTTGCCATCTGCCATGGTGGTCATTCCTCTGTGTTTGATGGAACTAAAGAAGCATTAGGGTTCTATGGATTGATGAAGGAAAATAGTGTGTGCTCTTCTTGATTTCTGGTATTTATTTCCTTGGTCCTGTTAAAAACGATACCAGGGTGAATTTACCAATTTTGAACACATCCAGTTATTCTGTATTCTTTTACATTCATATTTAAGGAAGTTTTGAGATTTTTATGCAGTCTCATTTAAAATCATAGAATTTTAGACTCTAACAGAAAGGGCTTGTTAAATTTAAGACTGAAGATTCAAAAAGAGCTATATCAATCAGGTAATTCAATCCACTTTACAGTACAGAAAACCAAAATCAAAAGAGGTTAAATAAACAACGTTATAGTCAGTGGCAGATCGGAGATGAGAAAACAGTTCTTTTTACTCCAAGTTTGGGGGCTCTTTCCTCTAGCTGGGGCTCTTTCCCTCTTTGAGAAAAGAGAAGGAGACTGGCAAGAGCACTATAATGACCAAGCTGATTTCTTAGCTCTAACACTTAGGGAAAAATCTAGAACAAAAACCAAAATATTTAGATTATCAATTCATAGCATACCATTCACGCAACAGATACCTAAAAGATATTATTTTGTTAAAATATAATATAGGACATTATTTTATTAAAAAGTATCTATACAGTGTTGGCAACATAGTGAGACTATGTCTCTACCAAAAAAAAAAAAAAGAAAAAAAGTCAGATATGGTATTGCATGCTATACTATAGCCCTAGCTACTCGGGAGCCTCCACCAGGAGGATCACTTGAGCCCAGGTGGTCGAGGCTGCAATGCACTACAATCATGCCATTGCATTCCAATTAGGTAACAGTGAGACGCTTTCTTGAAAAAAACAAAAAAAGTATCTATATGATCACACATCATTAAATTTCTGAGTTTCATCCATTGTCATGATCACTTATCTTTTCCAATCCTCACCACTGCAACCATCTACTACTCTACTATCCACGTAACAAAAGAATGATTTTTAAAAATTATCTATAGAGCAACAGAATGACATTTTTAAAAAGAAAACTGAATTTAAGACTCCCTTGTTCAAAATCCCCCAAAGACTTTCCATAACATCTAAGGCAAGGACTTGGATCCTGGTTACCTTTCTGAAAGCCTATCTGATCACTCTTCCTCTTGTTTCGTATTCTGTAGCCTTAGTGGCCTTCATGTTCTTCTTCAAACATGCTAAGCACACTCTTGATTTAAGTCTTTGACCTTTGTCTTCTCTCAGATTGGAATGTCTCTTTAGATAACGACATGTCTGTTCCCACTGACTAAAACACTCTTTTTCCTTGAAAGCTTCTGGATTGTTTCTGGATCTTCTCAAATATCACTTCCCAGAGAGGATTCTCTCACCAGTCTAGCTAAAAAACCTCCGCCTCCAACTTTTACCCTCTTCACCATTGGCCTTCATTCTCTATATCCATACCTGCTTCATTTCCATTCACAGTATTTATAATTCCTAGATATTATGTAGCCCCACAATCCCGGTGAAGCCAGATGTCATTTGGAATTAAGTATTTTTGGTATTTTTAAGGTAATATAGTACATATACTATAATTATGCAACATCTCCTACCCTTCTCCCCTCCCATCCAAGACGTCTGGGAAAGCACCCTGAAGTCAAACATGTTAACAGCCTTGCAGTAAAACATATATTCATTCTAAGTGAGATTTTTTAAAGACTATAACTTGAAGCAGGGCAAGATGGCAGAATAGAAATCTCCACTGATTGTCCCTCCAAGCAAGGACATCAATTCAATAACTATCTACACAAAAAAAAGCACCTTCATAAGACTCAAAAATCAGGTGAGCACTCACAGTACCTGGCTTTAACTTCATATCACTAATGAGGCACTGAACAGGTAGGAAAAACAGTCTTAAATAGCTGATGCCACCTCTCCCGCAGCAGCAGAGGCATGGTGTGGAGAGTGTTTGGTGTGCTGGAGACAGGGAGATTGTAGCATTTATGAGGCACTGAGCTCAGTGCTGCCCTATTATAACAGAAAACAAAAGTAGACCAAACACAGCTGATGTCCACCCAAAAAAGGAGCATTTTAACCAGGCCTGTTTAGCCAGAAAGGAATCGCCAATCCCAGTGGTCCAAACTTGAGTTCCTGCAAGCCTCATCAGTGCAGGCTAAAGTGTTCTGTGGCCCAAAATAAACTGGAAAGGCAGGCTAGGCCATAAGGACTGCAACTCCAAGGCAAGTCCTAGTGTTGAACTTGGGCCAGAGACAGTGGACTGGAGGAGGGGGGTATGTGACTTACTGAGACACCAGCCAGGGTGGGGAAGGGAGTGCTGGCATCACCTCCTCCTAACCACAGGCTATACAGCTGGTGGCTCCAAAAAAGACCCACTCACTCCATTTAAGGAGAGAAGAAGGAAGAATAAAGAGGACTCTGGGATCTTGGATACCAGCTCAGCCACAGCAGGGTAGGGCACCAGTTAGAGTTATGAAGTCCCCTTTCCAGATCTTGCTAGTGAATGACATTTCTAGACACACCCTGGGCAACAAGGCAACCTGCTGCCTTGAACGGAAGAACCCAGTCCTGGCAGCATTCATCACCTTCTAACTGAAGAGACCTTGGGCCCTGAACAACCAGCAGTAATACCCAGGTACTACATTGAGGGCCTTGGGTGAGACTCTGAGACTTGCTGGCTTCAGGTGAGACTAAGCACATTCCTAGTTGTGGTGGGTACAGGGTGAGACTCCTTCTTCTTGAGAAAATCAAAGGGAAAAGCAAAGGGAACTTTGTCTTGTACCTTAGTTACCAGCTGAGCCACAGGGGTCAGAGCACCAAGCAGGTTATTGGGGTCCCAGGTTCCAGGACTTGGCTATTGAATAGAATTTCTGGACCTGCTCTGGGTCAGAGGACAGCCTGCTGCCCTGAAGGGTGAGTATTAGGCCAGGCAGCATGCAACACAAGCTGACTGAAGAGCCCTTGGGCCTTAAGGGAACATCAGTGGTACAGCACTCCCTGTGGAGATGTGGTAGCGGTAGCCATAGGGTGAGGCTCTTCTGCCTTTAAAAAGGGAAGGGAAGAGTGGGGAGGACTACATCTTTTGAGTTCAGTGCCAGCTTAGCCACAGTACAATAGAACACCAGGTAGACTTCTGAGATTTTTTTACTCTAGTCCCTGGCTCCTGCATGGCACCTCTGGACATGCCCAGGGACTTGGGGAACCCGCCACTCTGAAGTGAAGGATACAGGCCTGGCTGGCTTTGTCACCTGCTGATTGTTGAGCCCTAAAGCCTTGAGTGAACACAGGCTGAAGCCCAGGAGTGGTTACAGCAAGCCTCAGGTGAGACCCAGTGCTGTGCTGGCTTCAGGTCTGGCCTAGTACAGTTCTAGTGGTGACGGCCACAGAGGTGGTTATGTCACAATATTCCCAGCTCCAGATGGCCTAGAACAGAGAGAGAGAGACAGAGACAGAGACAGAGATGGGGGTGGGGTGGGACAGACAGACTCCATTCATTTGGAGAACGTGAGGAAAGAGAACAAGAGTCAATGCCTGGTAATCCAGATAATCCTTCTGGATGTTGTCCAGGACCATCAAGGCAGTACCTTTATGAGTCTGTAAGAACTATAGCATTACCAGGCTTGTGGTGCCCCTAAAGCAGATACAGCTTAGATCACAACACTTAGATCACAACAATCAAGTCCTTTTGAATATCTGGAAAGCCTTCCCAAGAAGGACAGCTACGAGTAAGTACAGAAAGTGAAGACTATAATAAATACCTAACCCTTAAATGCCCAGACATCAAAGAACATCTACTAGCATCAACACCATCCTGGAAAACATGACCTCACCAAATGAAATAGATAAGGCACCAGGGACCAATTCTGGAGAAACAGAGATATGTGACTTTTCAGACAGAGAATTCAAAATGGCTGTGCTGAGGAAAGTCAAAGAAATTCAAGATAACACAGAGAAGGAATTCAGAATCCTATCTGATTAGCTTAACAAAGAGATTGAAATAATTACAAAGAATCAAGCAGAAATTCTGGAGCTGAAAAATGCAACTGCCATATTGAAAAATGCATCAAAGTCCATTAATAGCAGGTGTGATCAAGCTGAATAAAGAATTAATGAGCTTGAAGATAGGCTGTTTGAAAATACACAGAAAAGACAAAAAAAAAAGAAAGAAAAGAAAAAACAATGAAGCAAAGCAGGCTGCAAAATAGCCTCAAAATGCAAGAAATAACTAAGATCAGAAGGAAATAGAGACAAAAAAACCCTTCAAAAAAATCAATGAATCCAGGAGCTGGTTTTTTGAAAAGATCAACAAAATTGATAGACCACTAGCAAGACTAATAAAGAAGAAAAGAGAGAAGAATCAAATAGACGCAATAAAAAATGACAAAGGGGATATCACCAGCGATCCCACAGAAATACAAACTACCATCAGAGAATACTATAAACACCTCTATGCAAATAAATTAGAAAATCTAGAAGAAATGGATAAATTCCTTGACACATACACTCTCCCAAGACTAAACCAGGAAGAAGTTGAATCTCTGAATAGATCAATAACAGGCTCTGAAATTGAGGCAATAATTAATAGCTTACCAATTAAAAAAAGTCCAGGACCAGATGGATTCACAGCCGAATTCTACCAGAGGTACAAGGAGGAGCTGGTACCATTTCTTCTGAAACTATTCCAATCAACAGAAAAAGAGGGAATCCTCCCTAACTCATTTTATGAGGCCAGCATCATCCTGATACCAAAGCCTGGCAGAGACACAGCAAAAAGAGAATTTTAGACCAATATCATTGATGAACATTGATGCAAAAATCCTCAATAAAATACTGGCAAACCAAATCCAGCAACACATCAAAAAGCTTATCCACCATGATCAAGTGGGCTTCATCCCTGGGATGCATGGCCGGTTCATCATACGAAAATCAATAAACGTAATCCAGCATATAAACAGAGCCAAAGACAAAAACCACATGATTATCTCAATAGATGCAGAAAAGGCCCTTGACAAAATTCAACAATGCTTCATGCTAAAAACTCTCAATAAATTAGGGATTGATGGGACGTATCTCAAAATAATAAGAGCCATCTATGACAAACCCACAGCCAATATCATACTGAATGGACAAAAACTGGAAGCATTCCCTTTGAAAACAGGCACAAGACAGGGATGCCCTCTCTCACCACTCCTATTCAACATAGTGTTGGAAGTTCTGGTCAGGGCAATCAGGCAGGAGAAGGAAATAAAGGGCATTCAATTAGGAAAAGAGGAAGTCAAATCATCCCTGTTTGCAGAGGACATGATTGTATATCTAGAAAACCACATTGTCTCAGCCCAAAATCTCCTTAAGCTGATAAGCAAATTCAGCAAAGTCTCAGGATACAAAGTCAATGTGCAAAAATCACAAGCATTCTTATACACCAATAACAGACAGAGAGCCAAATCATGAGTGAACTCCCATTCATAATTGCTTCAAAGAGAATAAAATACCTAGGAATCCAACTTACAAGGGATGTGAAGGACCTCTTCAAGGAGAACTACAAACCACTGCTCAAGGAAATAAAAGAGGACACAAACAAATGGAAGAACATTCCATGCTCATGGGTAGGAAGAATCAATATGGTGAAAATGGCCACACTGCCCAAGGTAATTTATAGATTCAATGCCATCCCCATCAAGCTACCAAAGACTTTCTTCACAGAATTGGAAAAATCTACTTTAAAGTTCATATGGAACCAAAATAGAGCCCACATTGCCAAGTCAATCCTAAGCCAAAAGAACAAAGCTGGAGGCATCATGCTACCTGACTTCAAACTATACTACAAGCCCACAGTAACTAAAACAGCATGGTACTGGTACCAAAACAGAGATATAGACCAATGGAACAGAACAGAGCCCTCAGAAATAATGCCGCGTATCTACAACTACCTGATCTTTGACAAACCTGAGAAAAACAAGCAATGGGGAAAGGATTCCCTATTTAATAAATGATGCTGGGAAAACTGGCTAGCCATATGTAGAAAGCTGAAACTGGATCCCTTCCTTACACCTTATACAAAAATTAATTCAAGATGGATTAAAGACTTACATGTTAGACCCAAAACCATCAAAACCCTAGAAGAAAACCTAGGCAATACCATTCAGGACATAGGCATGGGCAAGGACTTCCTGTCTAAAACACCAAAAGCAATGGCAACAAAAGCCAAAATTGACAAATGGGATCTAATTAAACTAAAGAGCTTCTGCACAGCAAAGGAAACTACCATCAGAGTGAACAGGCAACCTACAGAATGGGAGAAAATTTTTGCAACCTACTCATCTGACAAAGGGCTAATATCCAGAATCTACAATTAACTCAAACAAATTTACAAGAAAAAAACAAACAACCCCATCAAAAAGTGGGTCAAGGGTATGAACAGACACTTCTCAAAAGAAGACATTTATGCAGCCAAAACACACATGAAAAAATGCTCACCATCACTGGCCATCAGAGAAATGCAAATCAAAACCACAATGAGATACCATCTCACACCAGTTAGAATAGTGATCATTAAAAAGTCAGGAAACAACAGGTGCTGGAGAGGATGTAGAGAAATAGGAACACTTTTACACTGCTGGTGGGACTGTAAACTAGTTCAACCATTGTGGAAGTCGGTGTGGCGATTCCTCAGGGATCTAGAACTAGAAATACCATTTGACCCAGCCATCCCATTACTGGGTATATACCCAAAAGATTATAAATCATGCTGCTATAAAGACACATGCACACGTATGTTTATTGCGGCACTATTTACAATAGCAAAGACTTGGAACCAACCCAAATGTCCAACAATGGTAGACTGGATTAAGAAAATGTGGCACATATACACCATGGAATACTATGCAGCCATAAAAAATGATGAGTTTATGTCCTTTGTAGGGACATGGATGAAGCTGGAAACCATCATTCTCAGCAAACTATCACAAGGACAAAAAACCAAACACCACATGTTCTCACTCATAGGTGGGAATTGAACAATGAGAACACATGGACACAGGAGGGGGAACATCACACACCGGGGACTGTTGTGGGTGGGGAGAGAGGGGAGGGATAGCATTAGGAGATATACCTAATGCTAAATGACAAGTTAATGGGTACAGCACACCAACATGGCACATATGAACATACATAACAAACCTGCACATTGTGCAAATGTACCCTAAAACTTAAAGTATAATAATGAAAAAAAAAAGAAAATAGCCTCAAAATGGCAAATCTACGAGTTATTGGCCTTGAAGAGAAGGTAGAGAAAGAGATAGAGGCAGAAAGTTTACTCAAATGAATAGCAACAGAGAACTTCCCAAACCTATAAAAGATATCAATATCGAGAGTACAAGAAGGTTATAGAACACCATGCAGAATTAACCCAAAGAAGACTACCCTAAGGCATTTAATAATTGAACTCCCAAAGGTCAAGGATAAAGAAAGGATCCTAAGCAGCAAGAAAAACGAAATAGCATACAATGGAGTTCCAATATATCTGACAGCAGAATTTTCATTTCATACTTCACAGGCCAAGAGAGAATGGCATGACATATTTAAAGTGGTGAAGGAAAAAACTTTTACTCTAGAATGGTATATTCAGTGAAAATATCCTTCAAACATGAATAGGAAATAAAGGCTTTCCCAGACAAACAAAAGCTTAGGGATTTTATCAACACCAGAACTTTCTGCAGGAAATGCTAAAGGGAGTATTTTGATCAGAAAGAAGAGGACATTAATAAGCAACAAATCATCTGAAAGTACAAAACTCACTGGTAATAGCAAATACACAGGAAAACACAGAATATTATAACACTGTAACTGTGGTGTGTAGACTACTCCTATCTTAAATAGAAAAATGAAATAATTAACCAATAAAATAAATAAAAAATAACCATAACAAGTTTTCAAGACATAAACAATACAATAAAATATAAATGGAAACAACAGAAAGTCAAAAAAACAGGGGGATGAAGTTAAGGCATAGAGTGTTTATTAGTTTTTTGTTTGTTTGTTTATGTAAACAGTGTTAAGTTGTTATCAGCTTAAAATAATGGGTTATAAGATAGTATTTGCAAACCTCTTGGTAACCTCAAACCAAAAAAACATACAACTAATACACAAAACATAAAAGGCAAGACCCAAGAAAATCACCTTCACTGAAGGGAAGACAGGAAGGAAAGAAGACCACAAAATAACCAGAAAACAAATAACAAAATGGCAGGAGTAAGTCCTTACTTACCAATAAAGAAACTGAATGTAAGTGGACTAACCTCTCCAATCAAAAGACATTGAGTTGCTGAATGGATACAAAAAAAAGACAAGACCCTGTGATCTGTTGCCTATGAGAAATACACTTCACCTATAAATACAAACATAGAGTGAAAGTAATGGGATGGAAAAAAAAATATTCCATGCCAATGGAAACCAAAAGAGCAGGAGTGGCCATACTTTTATCAGACAAAATAGATTTATAGTCAAAAACTATAAGAGAGACAAAAAAAGTCACTATGTTATGATAAAGGGGTCAATTCAGCAAAAAAACAAAACAAAACAATTTTAAATACATATGCACCCAACACTGACACACCCAGATTTATAAAGCGAATATTATTAGAGCTAAAGATAGAGATAGGCCCCAATACACTAATAGCTAGAGGCAGCCAGGTGTGGTGGCTCACGCCTGTAATCCTAGCACTTTGGGAGGCCAAGGTGAGCAGATTGTCTGAGCTCAGGAATTTGAGACCAGCCTGGGCAACATGGTGAAACCTCGTCTCTACTAAAAAAAAAAAAAAAAAAAAAAAAAAAAAAATTAGCCAGGCGTGGCAACGTGCACCCGTAGTCCCAGCTACTCAAGAGGCTGAGGCAGGAGAATTGCTTGAACCTGGGAAGCAGAGGTTGCAGTGAGCCGAGATGGTGCCACTGCACTCCAGCCTGGTGACGGAGCGAGACTCCATCTCAAAAAATAAATAAATAAATAAAATAAAGCTAGAGGCTTCATCACCATACTTTCAGTATCAGACAGAGACATATCGTCCAGATGGAGAAATCAACAAAGCAACATTGGACAATCTGCACTACAGTCCAAATAGACCTAATAGACATTTACAGAACAGTTCATCCAATGGCTGCAGAATACACATTTTTTTCCTCAGCACATGGATGATTCTCAAGAGAAGACATTAGGTCACAAAACAAATCTTAAAACATTCAAAAAACTGAAATAATATCAAGCATGTTCTCTGACCAAAGTGGAATAAAACTCATAATCCATAATAAGAGGAATTTTGTAAACTGTACAAATACATGGAAATTAAACAATATGCTCCTGAATGACCAGTGGGTCAATGAGGAAATTAAAAAGAAAATTGAAACATTCATTGAAACAAATGATAATGGAAACACAACAAGCAAAACCTATGGAATATAGCAAACGTAGTACTAAGAAGGAAGTTTACGGCCATAAGTGCCTACATGAAAAAAGAAGAAAAACTTCAAATAGACAACCTAAAGATTCATCTTAAAGAACTAGAAAAGCAAGAGCAAACCAAACCCAAAATAAGTAAAAGAAAAAATAAAGAGCAGAGCATAAATAAATAAAATTGAAATAAACAAGTTAGTTTTTTGAAAAGTTAAGCAAAATTAACAAACTTTTGGCCACACTAGGAAAAAAAGAGAGAGGATCCAAATAAATAAAATCAGAGATGAAGATGGAGACATTACAAATGATACGACAGAAATTCAAATGATCATTAATTACTCCTATGAGAAACCATATGCCAATAAATTGGAAAATCTAGAAGAAATGGACAAATTCCTAGAAAAATACAACATACCAAGATTAAACCATGAAGAAATCCAAAACCTGAACAAACCAGTAACAAGTAATGAGATTGAAGCTGTAATAAAGTCTCCCAGGAAAGAAAAGCCCAGAAACTGATGGCTTCACTGCTGAATTCTACCAAATATTTAAAAAATGAATACCAATACTACTCAAACTACTCCAAAAAACAGAAAAGGGAATACTTCCAAACTCATTCTATGAGCCCAGTATTACCCTTATACCAAAAATAGACAAATACACATTAAAAAAAGAAAACCACAGGCCAGTATTTCTGATGAATAGTGATGCAAAAATCCTCAACAAAATACTAGCAAACCAAATTCAACAGTACATTAGAAAGATTATTCATCATGACCAGGTGGGATTTATCCCTGGGATGCAAGGATGGTTCAACATGTACAAATTAATCAATGTGATGTATCATATCAATAGAATGAAAGACAAAAACCATATGATCATTTCAACTGATGGTGAAAAAGCAGTTGATAAAATTCAACATCCCTTTATAATCCACCATTAAAAAACTGGATATAGAATGTACATTAGCATCAGAAAAACCATAGATGACAGACTCACAGCTAGCATCATACTGAATATGGAAAAGCTAAAAGCCTTTTGTATAAGATCTGGAAGATGAAAAGGATGGCCACTTTTCTCACTGTTACTCGACATAGTACTGGAAGTCCTAGCTAGAAAACCAGACAAGAGAAAGAAATAAAGGGCATCTAAATTGGAAGGAAAGAAGTCAAATTATCCTTGTTTGCAGATGACATAATATTATATTTGGAAAAATGTAAAGACCCCAAACACACACACACACATACACACAACTATTCAAACTGATAAACAAATTTAGTAAAGTTGCAGGATATAAAATCCACCTACAAAAAACAGTAGCATTTCAAAATGCAACAGTGAACAATCTGAAAAAGAAACTAAAAATGGAATCCTATTTACAGTAGCCACAAATAAATACCTAGGAATTAACTTAATGAAAGAAGTGAAAGATCTCTATGGTGAAAATTATAAAATACTGATGAAAGAAATTGAAGAGGACACCGAAAGAAACCAGAAAGATACTCCATGTCCATGGATTGGAAGAATCAATATTATTAAAATGTCCATACTGCCCAGTGCAATTTACAGAATCAGGTCTATCCCTATCAAAATACCAATGACATTCTTCAAACACACACACATAAATTTTGTAAAATTTATATGGAACCACAGAAAATTCAAAATAGTCAAAGCTATCCTAAGCAAAAAGAACAAAACTGAGAAAATCACATTACCTGACTTCAAATTATACTACAGAGCTATAGTAATCAAAACAGCATGGCACTGACATAAAAACACACATGTAGACCAACGGAACAGAATAGAGAACCCAGAAACAAATTCACACACCTACAGTAAACTCATTTTCAACAAATGTGCCAAGAACATACACCGTGGAAAAGACAGTCTCTTCAATAAATGGTGCTGGGGAAAATGAATATCCATATGCACAAGAATGCAGTTAGACTGCTATTTCAAGCCATATAGAAACATCACATAGAAATACATTAAAGATTTAAACCTAAGACCCTCAGATTATGAAACTACTACAAGAAAACATTGGGGAAAAATCTCCAAGACATTGGTCTGAATAAAAATTTATTGAGTAATACCCTACGAGCACAGGCAATCAAAACAAAAATAGACAAATGGGATCATATCAACTTAAGAAGTTTCTGCACAGCAAAGGAAACAACAAAGTGAAGAGACACCACAAAGAATTGGAGAAAATATTTGCAAACTACCCATCAGACTAGGGGTTAATAACTAGAATATACAAGGAGCTCAACTCTATGGGAAAAAATCTGATAATCTGATTAAAAAATGGGCAAAAGATTTGAGTAAACATTTCTCAAAAGAAGCCATGGAAATGGCAAACATGCATATGAGAAAGTGCTCAACATCACTGATAATTAGAGAAATGCAAATCCAAACTACAATGAGATATCATCTCACCTCAGTTAAAACGGCTTTTAGTCAAAAGAAAGGCAATAACAAATGCTGGCAAGGATGTGGAAAAAACGGAACCCCAGTCTTGGTAGGAATGTAAATTACTAAAAGCACTATGGAGAACAGTCTGGAGGTTCCTCAAAACTAAAAATAGAGCTACCACATGATTCAGTAATCTCACTGCTGGGTATATACCCAAAAGAAATCAGCGTATCGAAGAGTTATCTGCAATCCCATGTTTGTTGCAGCACTGTTCACAATAGCCAAAATTTGGAAGCAACCTAAGTGTCCATCAACAGATGAATATAAGAAAGTGTGGTACTGACACACAATAAAGTACTATTCAGTCATCAAAAAGAATAAGATGTTGTCATCTGCAACAACATGAATGGAACTAGAGGTCATTATGCTAAGTTAAGCCAGGGACAGAAAGACAAAGCATGTTTTCACTTATGTGTGAGATCTAAAAATCAAAACTATTGAACTCATGGAGATAGAGGAGAGAAGGATGGTTACCAGATGTTGGGAAGGGTAGTTGGAGGGTTGGGGATACGTGGGGATGGTTAATGGGTACAAAAACTCCTAGAAAGAATGAATTAAGTCCTAGTATTTGATAGCACAACAGGGTGACTATAGTTGATAGTAATTTAATTGTATATTTAAAATAAGTAAAAATTGTTATAACAAGATGTCTTAGAAAAAAACTAAAAGTATAATTTGATTGTAACAGAAAAGATAAATGCTTGAGGTGATGAATATCCCATTTTACATGATGTGATTGTTACATGTTGCATGCCTGTATCAAAACATTTCATATATCGTACAAATATATACACATAGGTACCCACAAAAATTAAAATAAAAAATAAGACTATGACTAGTCTCATATCAGCTTTACTACTAAATGAATCTGATTCAGCTTTTACCACTATTTGAAATGTCAAAATTTCCAGTTTCCCAAGCTTTTTGATATTAGAATTGCAGATAAGGGACTGTGGAACATACTACTTATTAATTTGTTAATTTCTTGTCTCTTCCACATAATGCATGTTCACAAGAACAAAGATTTGTTTTGTTTTTGCTCTGTAGTCCAGTGCCTAACAGATAATAATAACTGAATAAATATTAGCTAAGTGGACAAATGAAGGCCTCTGTAAGGATTAGCTTTGTGTTATTTTTACATTTTAAGTAAATCTTGTCCTACAGTCATCTCTCAATTGAAGCAATAGTTGAACTTTTAAAAATATTATTATTAAAATTATCTCTTCTTTTAAGGCTCATTGAAAGGCAGAAGGATAGAAAAATATGATAAACAGTATTTATATAAACTACAGGAAAAAACACCTGGTCTGTGTGATACAGTGGGAAGAGTTCTCAGCTAGAGTTCTAGAGATCTAGGTTGGTTTCCTTCCTTTCCTTTTTCTATCAACTACTTACCTATTTATTATTCATCTATCCATCCTCCATTCATCCACTTCTTCCTCTTTGACTTACATATCTCGCCATTTTGGCTCGATTCATTATCTGTCAAATGAGTGGATAAAACCTGGTGATCTTTAGCCATTCTCTGATTCTGCTAACAGTAAATAATTGTGATAATATTTGACTATCCTAGAGGTTGGCTCACACTAGCTTTTCAATTAAACTTAAGCATGTTTATTTGTTTAAATGTTACTATAGCTTTGTAGGATAATGTGAAGTTAGGTAATGTGATTTCCCCAGTTTTTTGTTCTTTTTGCTTAGGATAGGAAAAAGTGTCACTTAGTGACACCTTTGCCAAATATGTATTTTATGTTACAGTTACACAATACTGAATTTTTGTGTGTTTCTGTATGCCTAATAATAGCAAACGTTTATTGGACATTTTCTATGCACCAGAAACTATTTTAAGCTTTTTACATACACTAACCTTACAACTCTCTATTAGTCATGTGCTGTATAATATTGTTTTGGTCAACTATCAATTGCATATATGACAATGATCCCATAAGATTATAATGAAGTCAAAAAATTCCTATTGCCTAGTATTTACTATACTCTATGTTTTAATTGTTATAGTAGAGTGTACTCCTTCTACTTATTAAAAAAAAAAGTTAACTGTAAAACAGCCTCAGGCAGGTCCTCCAGGAGGTACTCCAGAAGAAAGCACTGTTACATAGCAGATGACAGCTCCGTGTGGGTTACTGCCCCTGAGATCCTTCCAGTGAGACAAGATATGGAGGTGGAGGAAAGCGATACTGATGATCCTGACCCTGCATAAGCCTAGCCTAATGTGTGTGTTTGTGTCTTAGTTTTTAACAACAAAGTTTAAAAAGAAAAAAATTTAATAGAAACAAGCTTATAGGATAAGGATAAATAGAAAATATTTTTGCACAGCTGTACATGATTGTGCTTTGTGTTTTAAGCCAAGTGTTATTATAAAAGCATCAAGAAGTTAAACAATTTAAAGTTTATAAAGTAAAAGTTACAGTAAACTAAGGTTAATTTGTTATTGTAGAAAAAAACTTTTAAAATAAATTTAGTGTAGCCTAAGTCTACATTATTTATAAAGTCTACATTAGTATACAGTAATGTCCTAGGCCTTCGCATTCACTCACTACTCACTCACTGACTCACTCAGAGCAACTTCCAGTCCTCCAAGCTCCATTCGTGGTAAATCTTCTATACAGATGTACCAGTTTTTATCTTTCATATCTTACTTTTATTGTACCTTTTTTGTTTAGATATACAAATACCATTATGTTGTAATTCTCTACAGTATTCAGTACAATAATATGCTGCACAGGTTTGTAACCTAGGAGCAATAGGCTATACCCTATAGCGTAAGTGTACAGTAGGCTATAACATCTAGATTTCTGTAGGTACACTCTATGCTGTTCACACAATGAGGAAATTGCCTAACAATACAGAAAGTACTCATGTCATTAAGCGATGCATGACTGTATCATCCCCTGTGGTAGAATAGATTGCCATCTGTTTCACTACCACATCTCCACAGAAAGTGTGCACCTCTCTGTGCTTTGACTTTGGGCTCGGCTATGTAACTTCTCTTAGCTAATTGAATAATAGCAGACATTACCTAAGTAGAACTTTGAAATATGCTTATGCAGATTAGTCTGTTCCCTTGCAATCCTGCTGTTCATACTGAGAAAAAAAAATGTCTCAGGTATCCGTTGATCCAAGGAAGATGAGAGATATGTGATATGAACCTAGACTTACCCCCTACCAAGAACCAAGTCCAGCTGAGCCCAGCCTGGATGAGACCTATCCAGTGGTCTCATCCAGTGGTAGGGCTAAGACATTAAGCCATGCAAGTCTGGTCAAGGGCTTATACTCTTAAGTCCCATGCCATATTGCCACTACACTATACTGGCTATATTGTATGATATTAAATTATGTATTAATACGCTAGTGAGTGATCTGGCACATATTAAAATTCTTAATTTTGTCTATATTGTCTATATACACATCAATGGACAAAGCTGTCTTGCAATTTGGAGTAAAATGTTTTTTATCGGGGGAGTTTTAAGAGGTTTGGAAGCCTGGCCATCAGTACCAACAACAGTTATGGAGGCAAGGGAAACTGGCCCTTGAAAAGAAGGGTAATGACAACTCCGTGAGGGTGGAGATTATATGTCTCTCATCATTTAAGCAAGAAGGAAATAAATTAGTGGCAGACTAAGGGTGACTTGATGTTTCTTCAGCTGTCAAAAAAGAAGAGACTGCTTTGATCATGAAAGATGATGGGATGGCATGCATCAGTCCACAGCTGTACGCCCCAGTCATACAGAATAGGACTCAGCAAACATTCGAGTGCCATTCAGAGAGAAGAAACACACATCCAATCCTAAACATATGAAATGGCAACAACAAAAGGAGGAAAAGACATCTTATGAAAACATGGCCACCTACTTGGAACATTCCATAGTGTGACATAGAGTAAGTCTGCTTAGGATTATTCCATTGATCCCCAGGGGCCAGTTGCCCAGCGCTCAAAGCCCAAGGTGGAAGACAAGTGCTTCCATGAAGAGCTGATGAGCTGGCCTCTCTGCAGACTGCTCCATACCCTGTGCTGTCCTGCCTCAGATGCAGAGAGAGAGCACAAGGCTCCCTCTCTCCTCATCTTTGGTGTGCCTGTGTTCTTGCTACCATCACAGCTGAATGCAAAGAAAGGCCATCCTCTGAGAGGAGCAGGGGTGGAGATGCTAAAGCAGAGGATCCCTCCCATTGCTGATAGATCCTCATCTGGCATACGCTTCACCCACCCACCCCATTCTCTGCTCCCACATACCGTAGCCCCATCACAGAAGACGTGACATGGAAAAAACACTGTGTCCACCCTAGTTCTTTTCTTAAATTTGGGCAGGGATCCGGGGTGTAGGTTAAGAGATTTTTAATTTGCCAGATTGTATGCTTATGTTGTTGAATGTACAATGAATCTATGGTATGACAGCAGTTTCTGGATAAACATTACTTTAGGTCCTAAAATGCAGAAGGGAAAAAGCAACTTTTGTCAGATGCCTATTTTGCTTTCATTTCATCTCTAATATTTTGGATGGGGAACCATCCAAAGCTTCTGGCTGCATGAAGGTCAAGTGTGCCAGTGTGCAGCTGGGTTTCTTTTCCAGAACTAAAAGTACTTTGGGTGGTGCTGAGGGTCAGCGGAAGAAGTAAAGATTGTGAGAAAGGAGAAACACGGGCTTGGGGAGAACCCAGAATTGGGGACAGAAGACCTAGCACTAGGCTACAGCACTTAGCACCTCTGATCTTGTTTTTCCTCATCTGTAAAAGGAGATTAACAATGCTTTTCTGCCCACCTCTTGGGGAGAAGGGAAGAATATAATTGTTAAAAAAATGTTTTGAAAAATAAGCAACACTGTCTTTATATAAGTAGCCAAGCATTATTAATTATCCACCCCATATCACGGTAGATACCTGTATTCAAGCTATCTGGACATGAAAGCAGTCACATTTTAGAAGTCATGAAGTTGGTGCTAATAAACCTAATCTACAGAAAAAAAAAGTTTTTTGTCTTGAGACATCAATAATATAAAATAAATGCACTGCTTTCTGGAGTCAGATTAATAAGACTACATTATAGACAGCTCTTGGGGTAGTTTCGTAGCTCATCCCCATACCAAATAATGGATCTCACTGTTAACAGATCTACTACAGTTTCTACTCTCTGGCTCTGGCTGACCAGTTGAGGCATGCATCTGTGATCTAAGCTTGATCGGCCAGGTTTCTCTTCTAATATTTTCAAATTTGCACCCATGACTGGGCATTTCTATCATTGGCTCCACTCTGGAGAAAGCTACTGTCCAGAGCTATCTTTGTTCCCTCCCTTCCCACCTTCCAATTGCATTAGAAACTCCAGTATTTCCCCAGAAAATACCCTTTTTGTATAAGCTTGCCAAAATTTGTTTTTCTTCTTGTAATCTTAAGAAATTTAACCAAAAGTTTAAAAATCCATTGTTTTTTTCTGTTATAATTTAAAAGTGCAGAGGGAGGATTTCTTAAAGACAAGACCAAATAAAGCTTGCATTTGTTTTATATCCTATCAAAGTAGTTTTGCAATTTATAGTTGTGGACAATGTGTCCCCTGATATTCATTAAAAATTCTTCCATATTTTCAAAAACCAAGGTCTGGCTGGGCATGGTGGCTTATGCCTGTAATTCTGGCACTTTGGGAGGCTAAGGTAGGAAAATCGCTTGAAGCCAGGAGTTTGAGATCAGCGATATAGCAAAACTTTGTTTCTACCAAAAAAAAAAAAAAAAAAAATTAGCCGGGCATGGTGCTGCACACCTGCATTCCTAGCTATTTGGGAGGCTGAGGTGGAAGGATCACCTGAGGCCTGGAGTTCCAGGCTGCAGTGAGGTATGATGGTGCCTGGGTGACAGACTAAGACCTTGTCTCGAAAAAAAACCCCGCCCACAACCTGCCCACTCAAAAACAAAAACAAAAACAAACAAACAAACAAAAACAGGGTCCATGGGCCCACAAGGAGTCTGTGGATAAATTATATATCAGTAAAACTGAACAAAGTAGATATCTTTCATAATCTTATGTATTTTATGCATTAAAACATTTTATTTCTATTGAGCTTTGTTTACTCCTTTTGATAATTCAAGGCAAGTGAACATATGGGATTATTTATGTCACTGATTTACTCAGAAGTGCTCAAATATATTCCAGACACTATTTTGGGGGCTGGCGATGTAGCAGGGACAAAACAGACAGTCTTTGCCCTCACAGAGTAGTGGTAAGAAAGAATATGTAGAATATAAAATTTCACACTACTGTTAGTAATGAACCTGGTACAAGTACCACAGCGAGGAGATTAGAGTAGCTTAAAATGTGAGAGTAAGAAACACAAAATGCTTAGAGGAAATTAATGTGCAATCCTTAACCTATATCTAGTTTTAAGTGATATATTAACATATGAAGGGAGCCCTGCCATAGTCAAGTTTAAGAGCAATAATAAAGTACAACTACTAACTACCACAATGACAATAAAGGTAAATAGCAATGCTAAGGTTACCTTACCAGTAATTTCATATGTGCTATTATAACTTCTTAATAATCTGTCAGGATGGGCAGGTGAGAAAATGGAGCCTTAGAGGCCCACCAAACTTGATCACTTTGATTAGTGGTAGAACCAGGAATATAGCCTGGTTTTCACATCTCCTGGTTTTATTTCCTTTATACCACATTACCTAATCACAACCGAAGACAAGTTTCACAGCAGACAGTGTTGAAATTTCTTTTTATTTACTTCCATAATCTACTTGTGACATGGGGTAGAGAAGCAACATAACAGGGGTCATATAGGAGCTACTGGTAACAAATTGAACACTTTTGGTTATCAGGCATAAGCTCAGATTAGCAAGAACTTTGGGGTGGTATGATAGATGTGATACTGGGGAAATTTAAGAATGAATTACAAAAGCAGATTTTTCCAACCAATGAATTGAACCATTTAGTGCAGAAGTTGGCAAACTTCAGCCCATGGAGTAAGTCCAATCTGCTACCTGTTTTTATATTGCCTGTGTGAATTGTTTTTACATTTTTAAATGGTTCAAAACATGCTAAAAGAGGAAAGATATTTGACAGCAAAAAGTTACATAAAATTCAAATTTCAGTGTCTATAAATACAGTTGAAACACAGCCATGCTTATTTATGTACTGCCTATGGCTGCTTTCACACTACAAAAGCAAAGTTGAGTAGCTCCACAAAGACCTGGGTCTCAAGTCCTAAAATATTACCGTCTGGCCTCTTGCAGAAAAAATTTGTTGGCCTCTCACCTAGAAGGTCACAGAGTTAATGTTAAAGGCAGTAATAACATCTGTTTAACTTATAATTTTAAAAATGAGTAAATGCATAGTTATTTAAATATTTCTTCCCTTTAAAATGGAATGATTTGAAAGCACCTGAGGCAAATGAATGAATATCCTAGAGGCCTAAGAAGCATGTTCACATCTTAGCCACTCAGTCAGTTGATCACTTGGATGACCTCTAGACATCATGGTATTTTTTGTTAATATACAGGTTTAAATTATTTAATTCTCAGTCTGACATTTTAAAATTTACTGACTCACAGATTGCTGGCTAAAGACAGAATAAAAAAAAAACAGTTGGTGACATATAATTAATGAGAAGCATAAACATTCTTTGATGTCTATAAATTTGCCTCAAGATGACCATCACCATATCAAAAAGTTGTATTTATGTAGTTAAAAGGGGTAAGTCTCAAATACGTTAAAAGTCTGTGTTAAAAGAAATTTGGTGATGATCAAATCCAAAATTTTCTGGTTTAGAAATTAAAATCAGTTAATTTAGAAAGAATAAAATATAAAAAACTCTAAAATGTAACATCATAAACACAGTTTTGCATGTACTTTTGATGCGGCAACTTAAATTTACTTTTCAATATCCACCTAAATACTAGTTTGGCCTCAAAGTCAAATACTGTTTAAGTATCATCTGACTTTTATAGTTACTGTTGTTAAGTCCTCCTATTCCCTGCTCCCTGCCCCATACATAATTTAAAGTAAAATAAAAGCAGATCATTTACTAAAAGTGAGAATGTTTTAATGTCTTTATTATGCATATTAGCTTATATTTAAAATAAATTTAATGATATAATTCTTGACAATATAGTTTCTCAAATTTTTGTAGCTAAAAAATAATAACATCCTTTTTTGAAAATCTTAAGGTTTACCTCCTAAGAAACATTGAGGAACACTATACTAAAGAATAGGGAAAAAATTAAGTGATAATATTATTCATACCACTTGTTCATCATTATTTTTTCAGCTAAGAGATGAGTACAACTCTTTGCCAGCCACTATGGAAGAAAGCCAAGAGAAAAACGGCAGTTCCTGCTTTCAAAGAGCTTACTGGCTGGTGGCTGGAAGGAGACGAGTACAAAGATTGATAAGTTCTCTGACACAGGTAAAGTAAGCCACTGTTATCATGTAGAATAAAGATGAACTCAGTTTCTGGTGGTGAGAACAGAAAAGAACGAACAAATAGGAACTATTAATAAGGTAAAACACACTGGGCATCCTGACCAATTAGATGAGGGAAGAAAGATAGAGAATTAAAATTGTTGTCAATGAGATGCCTTATATTTAGAGATATAAAGAGAAGAAAGAAAGGGTCTAGTGAATGTTTACCTAGAAAAAATGAATATGCTAAAAATTTTCCTCTAGAGATGACCAAATCCTCTTCCTTCTTAATTTCAAGTTATTATAAAAAATCCCTCATCCAAAACCTTTGGAAAATCACAGTGTTTTAGAACTAAGAATTTTTTAGAGTTTTGAAAGGTAAGATTAAAACATACAAAAATTAAAACATACACATATATACATACACACACCTTTTTAATGTCTAAAATACACGTCAAAGACTGCTCTATACCAAACTATAATTTCAGGCTTTTTATCATTGATGATTGATAGTGATTCAAAAAGAATGGACTCTAAGTACCTGATGAATAAATAAAATGCAGTACTGTATATCTATATAATAGAACATTATTTGGCTATAAAAAGTAATGGAATTCTGATATATACTGCAACACAGATGAGCCTTGAAAACATTACCATGAGTGAAAGAAACAAAAGGCCATGTATTGTATGATTCCACTTAAATGAAACATCCAGAATACGCAAATCCAAAGAGACAGAAAGTAGACTACTGTTTGCCAGGACTAGGAGTTGAGGGAAATAGAGTAGGAAATGGATACAGGGTTTCTTTTTGGAGTGAGGAAATGTTCTAGAATTGAACAGTAGTGAATGATATACAACACTGTGAATATACTAAGAAGCACTGGATTGTACAATTTAAAATTTTCAACTTTATGACATGAATTATATCTCAATAAAGCTGTTCTTTTCTTTAAAAAACAGTGGGCTGGGCATGGCATGGTGGCTCATGCTTGTAATCCTAGCACTTTAGGAGGCCAAGGCAGGAAGATTGCTTGAGTCCAGAAATTTGAGACCAGCCTGAGCAACATAGTAAGACCCTGTCTCTACAAAAAATACAGAAAAAAATTAGCTGGGCATGGTGGCACACACCTGTAGTGCAGCCACTTGGGAGGCTGAGGTGGGAGCATCGCTTGTGCCTGGGAGGTTGAGGTTGCACTGATCCATGATTACACCACTGCCCTCCAGCCTGGGTGACAGAGCGAGATCCTGATTCAAAAAAGAAATTCATATTTTTTTATCTCGTGAACATGCACATTTTAAAGTATTTAAAATAAGCCATCAAGATGAGTTATTGTAGGGATGTACTTGTTTGTGACTTTGAATAGCCACATGGATCTTGTAAGATCCACTGGAAAAAAAAATTGTAAAAGAGTTCCTCAGATACTTCATATTTTAAAATAAATATAATCATGGAACATCTATAATTAGTATGAATAAATAAACACAGGAAAATAATCAAAGAACAAGTCTGGGCCACAGTGTGCTTATTCCAAAAAATATAACAAAAATCGAAAATTTCAATCAAACGCTGAAAGTAGTTTTAAAGAGTTAATCTTGCAGTTTTCTCTGAGTCCAAAGTTTACATTCTTTTTATACCAAATGAAGTTAGGAATGTTTATAAATGAATTCAAAGCTACTACAATAGGATCACTGTGAACTATGGCTTCTGAAAACTGAAGAAAATGTAAATTTGAAGATCCAACTAGAAAAATGAAAGAATGAAGAAACTGGAAACTAACTTTGAACAACCTTCAGCTTTAACATGTAAAGGATAATTCACAGAGAAAAAAAGAAACAAAGAAAGAAAGGGACAGCAAAGTCCCCCTAAATCTATCTCAATTCATTTGCGTCCTAGACTGATGTTGTATTAGGCTTAAGCATAAAATATTACTCAATAAAACTTATAAATTGGTTTGCTGATTCACGTATGAAAATATGCTGAATGATCCCTTCCACTGGCAGATTACAGCTAGTTAGCAATGGATAAGGAGAAAAATTTACTTCAGCAGATTGGGAAAGTCTACACTGAATTTACAATCACATAATCTTCTCTTATACATACATATAAAAAGGGAACTATCTAAAGACAGGATTTTTTTAAGATCTTAAGTAATCAAAACTAGATACAACTGAAAGTTTAGTAGAAGTGAAAAAAGTATATATGTAACAAAAAATCAGCATACTTTCTTTAATATTCATAGAAAATAAATTAACAAGATAAAACGTTTACATTACCAATGTTTATATAGTCATCTAAGTTATTTTTTATAATTTGTGTGTTTTCTTCAGGTTAAGCAATATAAGTAAAATAAATGGGTAAACTTTGATTTATAATATAATAAGATGATTACTAGATTCTAACATATGACATGAGCTAAATTTAAGCAGCTCCCAATATTTACCCTAATATGTGGTAAATCACAATTTTTAAAAATTGTTATTGTTTTGGCCTATTAAGATAATACAAGTTTAATATTATTTAAAAAGTTTAACAATATTAAAAAAGTATAAAATATAATTGGATCTGTGTAATTTAGCAAAATATGAGCTTGCCAGTCATTTTATAAGACCTATTATCTCTTGAACAATATAATAAATGAGGTATGTTTGAGGTATTCAAAAAAAAAGAATTAACCAGTTTTTTTCTAAATGGTACATCCTTAACATTGGAGGTAGAAAGGGGTAGGGTATACATAAATGAAGATAATTTAGTAGTAGCAACTGGTTTGTATGAAAATCAGCCTGTAAGTCTTATTTAAAATGTAGGAATTAGGCTAATGCTTGTAGCTCTAAATAAGTAGTTTTATGGCTTTTCTTTGTGAAATGAAAATAAAATTAAGATCTATTATGTAACATACTGTGATCAAAAAGTATTTGTTAGGCTTCCTAAAGTCCACATTAGAATTTTAGTTGGAACTAAAAAGCAATGAAAAACAAATGCCTTCCTCCAAGAGGTAGTAGTTTCTATTTTATATGTGTTTGATGTGTTTGGATATTTGTCCTCTCAAAATCTCATGTTGAAATGTAATCTTCACTGTTGAAGGTGGGGCCTGGTGGAAGGTGTTTGGATCATGGGGACAAATAGCTAGCTCATGAATGGCTTAGTGCCATCCCCTGGTGACAAGTGAGTTCTCACTCTGAGTTCATGTGAAATATGGTTGTTTAAAAGTATGTAGCACCTCCCCCCGCCCCTTGCTCCTCCCCTCACCATGTGACATGCTTTGCCTTTCACCATGGTTGTATGCTTCCTGAGGCCCTGATAAGAAGCCAAGCAGATGTTGGTGCCATGCTTATACAGCCTGCAGAACTGTGAGCCAATTAAATCTTTTTCCTTTATAAATGCCAGTCTCATTATTCCGTTATAGCAATGCAAAAATAACCTAACACAGTGTCTTAGTCTGAGCTTCTATAACAAAGTGCCTTACACTGGGTAATTTATTAAAAAAAAAAAAAGAAAGAAAAAAGAAGTTTATTGCTCACAGTTCTGGGGAATGGGAGGCCCAAGATCAAGGAACTGGTAGATTCTGTGTCTGGCAAGAGCCTGTTCTTCATAGATGGTGCCTTTTTTGTGTCCTCAAATGGCAGAACAAGTTTCCTTGGGCCACTTTTATAGTGGCACTAATCCCATCATGAGGGATCTGCCCTCATGATCTAATTGGCCCCTAAAAGTCCCACCTCGTAACATTATTGCATTGGGAATGAGATTTCATCATATGAATTTTGGGTAGACAGAAACATTCTGACTAGAGTACTAAGTAATACACAAAACTACAAATCTCAAATAACACAATGAGATATATAATAAAATGATCATATGTAGCAAATTCAGTTGTATGCTCCTATGTCAACATAATCAGTTTTAGAATGTAATTTAAAAACTATCTATTCATGGTAAAATCAAAATGAAAAAGTTACAATATATTATGCCAATGCCAATGAAAAGACAGAAGTAATAATGAAAGTTAAAAATAACATTTGGATTTGAAAAAATGTAGTATCACATATAACGGTGTTTAATCAATCCCATGTGAAAACATAACTAGAGACAATTAAAATACAATTTGCTTCAAATAAATTCCTTTGATTATAATTTATAGAACAGAGGTATTTGATGATACTATTTCTATTCATTTTATAATTCATGGAAATATTTGCTTTGCTATAAAAGTTAATTTTAAAGTTTCTAAAAAAATAAGTAGTTGAAGAGAAAAGCTGGGGAATGAAGAGTCCCTTAAAGTAACCATCAGGTAAAAGTAATCTATAAAAATAATTGTAATAGTCAAGTGATGTTTACAGGCAACCTTGGAAAAAAAAAAAAAAAGAACAGATAACCAAAAATGAAAAAGGCAGCAAGATCACAAAATTGTTTCCAGCCACACATTTCACCTAAAAGAGATGAGCAGTCATATAAAGTAGGTATAGCCTGGCGTGGTGGTTCACACCTGTAATCTCAGCACTTGGGGAGGCCGAGGCAGGCAGATCACTTGAGGTCAGGAGTTCGAGACCAGCCTGGCCAACATGGTGAAACTCCATCTCTACTAAAAATTAAAATAAAATTGGCCTGGCATTGGAGCGCATGCTTGTAGTCCCAGCTACTTGGGAGGCTGAGACACCAGAATCTCACTAGAACCTGGGAGGCAGGGGTTGCAGTGAGCTGAGATCATGCCACTGCACTCCAGCCTGGGCAACAGAGTAAGACCCTATTTTCAAAAAATAAAATGAAATAAAGTAAAATAAAATAAAAGTAGGTATATAGGGGAAACAAACACAAGGTAGAGTGTCCTTATTCCATGTTTTCTAGATTGAATAATATACAAACTACATAAAATCAATTGATTAACTAATCTTAATAATAATTCCCCAGCAGCATCCAGCAGAAGCTGGAAGAGGTAAGAAACAGCTTATTCTTTAGAAGGAGAATGGCTCTGCCAACACACTGGACCCACTGGATTTGGGTCCAGTGATACTGATTTCAGACTCCTGGCCCCTAGAACTATAAGAAAATAATTATTTTTTGCATTAAGACACCAGGTTTGTGGTAATTTGTTACAGAAGCCACAGGACACTAATACACAAACAACATGCTTTAGGGTGCTAGGGCTTAACTGAAAGTTATTTTGGTATACATGAAAAGTTATCTATATGAACATATATTAATGTCATGCCATATATCTTAGGGAATTTATTTGTGATAGTTAGTTGATTTTATTTTGGGTGATGAACGCAGGTATATAATCGTGTCATCTACACCCAGGGGTTTAACGTCATCTTTTTTTTTTTTTTTCCTAACTTCTAGTATCTCTCTCAGCTGGCTCCCTTTAGTACAATGTTAAATAATAGTCACGCCAGTGGGTATCTTTGCAATGTTCCTGACTTTTGCACAAATGCTTCCAGTGTTTCCTCATTCTTCCACCATCTCCCACCCTCGAATGATCTGTTATGGACTGAGGGGACAATTAGTAACTTTTCCAAGTCTAGTGGTGTTGTAACCGAGTAACCTATTTTTAAGGGTTTTTTTTTTGTCCTTTTTTTTTCTTTTTTACTTCCCTCCCTTATTTGGTGCCTGTTTCTTGTTAATAATAAAATAATGACCTTTACTCTCCTTCTTTCCCCCAGGCACTCCCTTGCACTGCTCACTTATCTAATTATGTCTGCTTAGAAGTTTCTGTGATTGAATCTTGAGACAATCCAGGTACCTATGCAATTTTCTCCCAACAAGAGATTATGTGAGTGTACAGTTAATTTACAACCTATATATGCTCAAGATAATGCTAGCCCATTTACCAGATTGGACAATAGCACATAATAAAGCACTGAAGCAAGTTACGTGGTCCTGTACCTCCTTGCCCCTCCTGCACATCCTTCATACCAAATTTCACTTTTAACTTGTTGTATTCTGGCCAAAAATTTGAAATGGTTTCTTTAAGGCAGGAAGTCTAGACCATTTCCCCAATGCTACTTTGGAAATAAAGTCACTTTTCTTCCACTGAACTTTGTCCTTGTAATTTGGTTTTGCAAACAGCAAGCAGCTGAACCTGTATTCAGTGTTTCTGACTATTTTCAATGGTACGTGCATTGTCTTTCCAATTATTGATGCCATGCTATTTAACCTGTAGATATTCATAACTGCTTCATCTTCATGTGTATTCACAATGAGACTGTGTTCACCTCACTTAACATTTTTGTTGACTGAATTTCTCTGGTCTAATATAAATACCTTGCTTACCTTTATCTGGCTTTTCATCTTTATGTTTTGACATTTATAAGATACTTTATTGTATCTTTTAAACATATCAGAGAATAGAGTGCTCTATGATTTGGTCAGAAATCTACTTTTTAAAAAGTGAGAGGTTGGGAAGGCAGTGGGGAGGGGAGATGGAGAGAGACTGGTTAACGGGTACAAAAATACCATTAGATAGAAGGAATAAGTTCTAGGGTTCAATAGCAAAATAGGAATATTTTGTTGTATATTTCAAAATAGCTAGAAGAGAAGGTTTGAAATGTTTCTAACCCAAAGAAATGGTAAACATTTGAGGTGGTGGATATCCCAATTACCCTGATTTGATCATTATTCACTGTATACATGTATCAAAACATCATATGTACCCCATAAATGTGTATAATTATGTTTCAACAAAACATGTTTTTAAAATCCACTTACATTAATTTTTCTCTTGGCTGATTCCCCTTAGTAAAATGTTAAATGATAATGTGACAGTGGGCATCTAACAGAAAGAATTGTTCTTCATTCTGTTATTTTGTTTTCTCTCTGTATACATATATATGCGTGTGTATATAATATATATGTCTACATATACAAGTGTGTGTGTGTCTCTCTATTTTTTTTTTTTTTGAGACAGGGTCTCACTCTTGTTGCACAAGTTGGAGTGCAGTGACGCGATCTCGGCTTGCTGCAACCTCCACTTCACAGGCTCAATCAATCCTCCCAACCTCAGCATCCCAAGTCACTGGGTCCACCAGCTAATTTTTGTATTTTTTGTAGAGCTGGGGTTTCGCCATGTTGCCCAGGGTGGTCTCGAACTCCCGGGCTCAAGTGATCCTCCCACCTCAGCCTCCCAAGTCGCTGGGATCACTGGCTGATTTTTGTATTTTTGTACAGGCAGGGTTTTGCCATGTTGCCCTGACTGTTCTCAAACTCCTGGGCTCAAGGGATACGTCTGCCTTGGCCTCCAACAGTGCTGGGATTACAGGCATGAGCCATTGCAGCCTGCCTATTTTCTACATATTTTTAAACAAAAATATCATTGGTACTGTTTATCCTATTTTTCTCCATGGGTAATTTCTCTGTATCTTTGTTCCAGTGGTTATGTTTATAATTTTATGCAACTTTGTTTTTACAAATAAACATGTAATTTATATCTGTCCTTATTTCTGTATTCAAAATCTATTAGTTCACTGTTATAAGCAATTATAATATTTGCATGCTTTCTATTACTCTGCCCTTTTTCTTTCATTCATCATATTTCAGTTAATGTTTTTCACTATTTTTCCTTGTATTGTTAAATTATGCTGATACTTTTATTTTTTGTCAGCTTTAATTGATATTCTTTGACTTCCAAGTATTAAAGATGAGAAAATTAGTCCACGCCTGTAATCCCAGCAATTTGGGAAGCCAAGGTAGGCGGATCACCTGAGGTCAGGAGTTTGAGACCAGCATGGCCAACATGGTAAAACCCCGTCTCTACTAAAAATACAAAAAAATAAAAATAAATTAGCCAGGTGTGGTGGGGGGTGCCTGTAATCCCCAGCTACTTGGGAGGCAGAGGCAGGAGAATCGCTTGAACCTGGGAAGTGGAGGTTACAGTGAGCCGAGATTACGCCACTGCACTCTAGCCAGGGCAACAGAGAGAGACTTGTCTCAAAAAAAAATAAAATAAAAATAATAAGACAATTGTAAAGACTGGGGAAAAAAAGTGGAGAAAACAGGTAGAAGTGGTATATTTTTAGGGAATATATTTTATTTTTAGGGAATTTTAGTAAACATTTTATATTTATATTTATATATAGTGTCTACATTTTGTTCTTTAGCTCTAATTCCCACATTTTAGTCTTTCTTTTACAGTTAAATCCTTTCAATGCTTGCTGACAGACCTTCTATGATAATTTTCCTGTTTATTTATATCTGATTGGCAGTAGCTCATTTTCTAAGAATGTTTTCAAAAAGTATTTCTTGAGTTCAAAACTGTCTTTATATTTGTTGAGTTCAAAACTGTCTTTAGTATTTAAACTTGAAGACATTTGGGCTAAATTTAAAATATTAAACACTTTCCTTTCTATAAGATCCTGTAGCTGTTACTCCACTGGCAACTGGTACTAAATGTTGATGTGGATAAGACAGACACAAGTCTGACTTTTTCCCCTTCTATTATTGACCTGACTATTCTTTCTTCATGTTTAATGTACAGAAATTTTATGAGGACATGTCTCAGTATTGACAGTTCTAGGTCAACTTTCCCTGGTCCATGGTATGCTCTTTCAATATGTAGATCAAAATTATATTTTAAATTATTATTGAGTCTTATCTTTAAATAATTCATTCTTTTCTACTCTTTTGGTTTTCTTTTGTGTCTTTCTCTGTCTCAGTCTATCTATATACATTCACAAAATTTTATTTCTAATCTTTTTTTTCTTTGGTTTATTTTATTCATTCTTCACATTTTAATCCACAATATTCCTTAAGGTGCTTTCCATGATGTCTAGCCTTTCTTGTGCTCCTTCCAATTTCATATTTGAAATAAATCCTTTTTTCCTAAGTTTGGCCAGCTCATAATTCATCTTCTACTATTGTTTCATGATGTCTTTTCCAGAGTCCTTGCTTTCTGGATTGTAGGTTTTTCCAACAAAGGTGATTGCTTTATTCATTTTTTCTCTTCTCTTTTCTCCCATTCTTTCCCTCTCTCCTTTTCTTTCTTCCTGAAGAAAGTTAAGCATTATATTTTCAGCAAAATTAGAGTTCAGGTTTGACCCTTATACTCTAAAATAGGCAAAAGGGGATGCAAAATTAGAAGGAGCCACATGAAAATACATGAACAGAAGCAGTCTTGGAGAAATTTATCCATGGTAAAGGGCTCTGCAGTGTAGATCCAAGAAAATGATGTCCACAATCTATTCTCTGATCGTACACATAACATACCTTATGTTGCTACAGGTATTGCTTATAATCACAAGTATGGGAACAAAGGTGAGATGAGTTGTCAGCAGAATCTTGCTAGACTCAGCTTTAGAGAAGCATAAAAGACAGGGCTACATAAAGGATCCACAGACAAGCCATCCTCATAGGAAGTATTTTGTTTCTGTTGCAGCGGAGATTACCTTCTTGTGAAGACTTGCAAAATTGCAACAATAATGTGAACCCACCCTTTCCTTGACCCTCCTTCCTAATGCACACGCACCTCTTGAAAATAGGTAGCTAGGTAAAACCATTATATTCTGTCATGAGCAACAGAAGAAGAACAGTAGTAATAACAAAGATAATTCAGGAAAAGAATAAAAAGAATAGCAAAACACACAGACATCAAGCGAGCACTAGAAAAATGTCATCAGAGTGCAAGGGAATGGGTGGAAAATTATTTTTACAGGTTTATTAGCCATTTGCATTTCTTCTCTGATAAACTGCATTTTCAGGTCTTTTATGCAAATAGGCCATCTTTCCCACATTTAATTGTTACAACTCTTTGCATGTTAAGAAAATCAGCATCTTCTTTGTTGCATGTACCAAATATTAGTTCCCAGGTTTCCTTTTAATTTCATTAGTGCCTTTTAATTTCATTTGTGAACTTTCCTAATCATTAAAAATTGTTATGGTAAAAAATTAAAAATTCATTAGTTTACAGCTTTTTTTTTTTTTTTTTGAGATGGAGTCTCGTGATGTTGCCTGGGCTAGAGTGCAATGGCGCGATCTTGGCTCAGTGCAACCTCCACCTCCCAAGTTCAAGCGATTCTCCTGCTTCAGCCTCCTGAGTACCTGGTATTACAGGTGCCTGCCACCACATCTGGCTAATTTTTTTGTATTTCTAGTAGAGACTGGTTTCACTATGTTGGCCAGTCTATTTTACAGCTTTTAAAGAGTTGCTTTTTATTATTTATTTATTTAAGAGATGGGTTCTCACTATGTTGGCCAGGTTGGTCTCGAACTCCTGACCTCAAGTGATCCTCCCACCTCAGCCTACCAAAGTGGTGAGATTACTGGCATGAACCACCACACCTGGCCTAAAGAACTGCTTTTTAAACAAAAAAGTTATTTACCATTGAAGTTACCTCTAAAAAAATCCAATATATGTTCCAAAGATGTTTTAAATTTCTCAAATCACATCAATCCCAAGTGCAAAACTCACTAATAGTTTCTCTTTGTGATTAAAATTAAACCTAAATTTTTAATTCTTTAATATGATCTATAAGCCCCTTACATTTCTGGCCTTGTAATCCCTTCAACCTCATTTCAAACCACTCTTTCTCCCACTTTCTCCATACCAGCAGACTAGATTTCTTGTTGAGCCTCAAGTACAATTGTTTTTGCTGAATCAACAGTCTTTACATTTGCTGTTCCATTCTGCTGCCTAGGTCACTCTTCTAGACATTGCTCACCACTTCCATCAACTTGGAAGTTTCTGCTTGAATATCACTACCTCAGGGAAGGCCTCCCTGACCACTTTATCAAAATAGGACTTCCAATTCCAAACCCAATTACCTTCTATCTATTTACCATGCTTTATTTTTCTCTTTAGAACATATCATATTTTGAAATTATATTATGTAATTATTTACTTGTTTATTGTTTGTCTTCCCTAATAAGGTAGTAAGCTCCATGCAGGCAAGGACTCCATCTCCTTCACTGTTTATGCCAGCTCCTAGTGATAGTGGCAGGAGGCAGTCAAATGCCTAGGCAGATAGAGGCAGGGCCAGTGAAACCCAACCTTCAAGCCAATGACAGTTTAAAGCCTAGCTACAAATCTCAGGTAAATCCAAGGACCGGACTGAGAACTTCTCTTCCTGTTTGGCATGCTTTCCTCCGATTCATCCCTACCCTTCACTTATTTTACATGTACCTACCCTTTCCTAATTTGTTTTCTACACTGTTGTGCCCCTTGAGCCTTTGTTTTAGCCTTTTTTGCATACTCACAAACCAATCAGCACACACTCCCCCAGTCTGAGCCCATAAAAGCCTCAGATCCAGCCACACTGAGAGAGAAACCACCCAACTTCAGGTGGGGGACCACTCTTGCATCCCCTCTCCACTGAGAGCTGTTTCGTCACTTAATAAAATTTTTCTCCACCCTTCTCACCCTTTGATTGTCAGCATAACCTCATTCTTCTTGGATGCAGGACAAGAACTTCGGACCGACTGAACGCGGGTACACAGAAGGCTGTAACACTGTGGCCCTCTGCCAGCAGAGGGCAGCCATCCCATATGACAAGAAGCAGCAGCAAGGCCAAGGCAGCCCTGGAGGTGCAGGCTAGAGCAGGGCAACCGGGCTGACAGAGTTGTTAAGGCGCCTCTGTCTGTCGGGCTGCAGACAATGGGACTAAAAGAGGTCATTAGCATGCTGTAACATCCCCCTCTGGGGCTTCAGGGTCGTGGGTACCCCTGCTTGGGTGTCCCTGTGTTTCCCTCGTCCGGAGACCAGAGCCCACTGTGGGAGTCACTTGCAACACACCTGGTCCAGGAACAAGCCCCATGTGGAGCCCACTCTTGTGCCAGTGCTTGGAATGGCCAGCCAGACCCTGCATTCACTGGCACACACATCTCCTCCTGCCAGGGACTGAGCACGCAGTTGCAGGAGCCGTGGGATCCATGCTGGGGGGCAAGCCAGGCATGGCCTGGTGTGTCAAGTAAACAGGGCATCTCCTGTGGCAAGCCCAGGCCTGAGCAAGGCCTGGGGAGGGGCATCATTGGCCAGAGGTCTCCGGTTGGCAAAGTAATCAAGAAAAATACTGCATCTCTAGAATAATCCCTGGCAGATGGTTGGTACACAACTTTGCTTTATTTTTAAATGAATGAATTAACAAATAAATAAATGGATCATGTTTCCAATGATGAATTTTAAAAAAAGTTTTAAAGCAGCTTTTTAAAAAAGTGCCTTAATAGGTTAAAATAAAGTATACAAAGGCCAACTATTTAGATCAGAAGAACTTCTTTAGAAGTTCTTACATTTAAAGTGTTCCTTAATGATGTGCGAAGTATTTTTAAAAGTCATCAGTATACGTATAATGTCTTTTTTTTTCTGTGTTGAAACCAGATTACATTTCTTTTTTTTTTTTTTTTTGAGATAGAGTCTCGCTCTGTCACCCAGGCTGGAGCGAAGTGGCGTGATATCGGCTCACTGCAAGCTCTGCCTCCTAGGCTCACGCCATTCTCCCGTCTCAGCCTCCCGAGTAGCTGGGACCACAGGCGCCCGCCACCATGCCCAGCTAATTTTTTTTGTAGTTTTAGCAGAGATGGAGTTTCACTGTGTTAGCCAGGGTGGTCTCAATCTCCTGACCTCATGATCTGCCTGCCTGGGGCTCCCAAAGTGCTGGGATTACAGGCATGAGCCACCGCGCCCAGCCCCAGATCACATTTCTGTTCAAAAACAACTTAAGTCTGAATTAGACTTGCTTTTAAGTGCTACATTTTTATAAAAACTGGATTGTATATCTACAAACTCTTTGAGAAAGTACCTCTATTAGATTGCAAAAACCCTGCCTCGGTGTTGCGTAGTTTCTAGTGTGGGCAGACAATAAATATGTAGATTACATATGCATTAGAAAATTTAAATCTTAGGGGGGAAAAAGAAAGCAAGGTAAGGGGGGGACTGCAATTTAAAATAGAATGGTCAGAGTAATTCTTACTGAGGAAGTAACATTTGAGCAAAAGTTTAAAGAAGGTGAGGAAACTATCAATATAGTCAAAATAATGCACTTCAGATTGAGGAGGTAATTTTAAAAGAGGATATGCAAACGATTAAGGAATTTTTCTATCATAAGATAAATGTACAGCTTCCTAAGATGATTATTTTGGAAGACTTAACATTCATTTGGATGGCATGATGTAGTAGTTTAAAAATCAAATCACTTTATTTCTTAGTCATACTTTGTATACCGCATATGATAGTTTCTTTTTGTAGAGAGACACTCATAGGATATATGTTATAGAGAGCTGGGATAATAAAGAAATCCATGACATTTATATTGAAAACAAATCTTTTCTTTTTTTTTTTGAGACAGGGTCTTACTCTGTCACCCAGGCTGGAGTACAGTGGCGCAATCTTGGCTCACTGCAGCCTCAACTTCCTGGGCTTAAGTGATCCTCCCACCTCAGCCACTAGGGTAACTTGGGACCACAGGTATAAGCCACAATGCCAAGCTATTTTTTGTAGAGATGAGGTTTCACCATCATGCCCAGGCTGGTCTCAAACTCTGGCCTCAAGTGATCCATCCACCTCGGCCTCCCAAAGTGGTTAGATTATAGACATGAGCCACCGTGCCTGGCCATCTTTTCCCTTTCAACATATTAGTTTATTCATTTTATTTGTTTATTTATTAAAGGCCACAATTTAAAGAATGACTTAGTATTGAAGTGCTGAAATGTATTAATATGAAAATTACTGTTAAAAGTCTGCCATATTATTTGCCTTTGTGATGGTTAGTTTTCTGCCCCAATTGGATAGGCTAGAGTACCCGGTTATTCAGTTAAACAATACTGGGGTTAATACCTACAATCAGCTGACTTTAGGTAAAGGAGATTATCTTCCACAATCTGAATGAGCCTCATCTACTCAGTTGAAAGGCCTTAAGAGCAAAGCTGAGATATACTTGAAGAAGAAATTTTGCTTCAAGACTGCAGGATCAGCTCCTGCCCGAGAGTTTTCAGCCTGTGGCCTTCCTTACAAATTTAATACTTGCCAGTCCCTTAGTTGCTTAAGCCAATATCTTGAAATAAATTTCTATAAATGTACATATACATGCATAAATACATATATGATATATTCATATATATATAATATACACAGATATATACATATACACATACATACATATACACATACATACATATATATATTCCCCCCTACTGTTTCTCTGGAGAACCCTGAACAATACAATCCTCCTCTTAGACCAGATTAGAAGCTACTCTAGGAAAGTCATCATGTCCTCTTATGATCCCTGTGTTTAATATAGCTCATAGCACGATGCTTTCTTGATGGAATAATTTATAGAAGAATATTTTAATTTCATAGGTAGATGGAATGTACTTTTAACCATTAAGAAGCAGAAGTTATCATATGAACATTTATAAGCTTTTTTCCTTGCCATTTCATTATAAATATTTATAACTTTCATAGAATGAAATCAAAAGATAAGAAAAATGACAATAAAAAATAAAACAAAGTGCTTATATCTAATATATATGATGAACTTACTATGAAAACATGTAAAAATCACTGTAACTCATCTATAGGAGAAAACCTAGACTTATTTATTGTTCTTTATATATTATGATATCATAATATATAAAACCTCACCAAATGCTTTATGTACATTATTTCCTTTACTCCTTGTAACAACCTGAAACAGGTAATTTTTGTATTCCCATTTACAGAGGAAGCCAATGCACAGAGACATTGAGAAACAAAGGTAGAAATTTGGTGGTAGAGTTGTCTTGGGACCATTAGAACTCAGGTAGTTGTGGTGATAAACATGTTGGATCTACAGACACATACGAAGGCAATAAAAAAGATGCAATCTTGATAGACATTAAATTCAAATCAAAACAATTATATTTCCATTTTATGTTTTAGTGAAAAAAAGAGGAAAATGTTAATAGCTATCAAGACTCTGGAGAAAAAATCTGTATTGATTATGGCATTCATAAGTTAGTGTAGCCAGTCATTAAGAATTTCACTTTGGGAGGCTGAGGCGGGGAGATCACCTGAGGTCAGGAGTTTGAGACCAGCCTGGCCAACATGGTGAAACCTCATTTCTACTAAAAACACAACAATTAGCTGGGCATGGTGGTGGGTCCCTGTAATTTCAGTTTACTCTGGAGGCTGAGGCAGGAGAATCGCTTGAACCCGGGAGGTGGAGGTTGCAGTTAGGCGAGATCATACCATTGTACTCCAGCCTGGGTAAAAAGAGCAAAACTTTGTCTCAAAAAAAAAAAACAAAAAAAAAAACAAAAAAAAAAACCTCAGATGCTATGACACAGTAATTCTACTCCAAAGAATAGTGCCTAAGGAAATAAATAAAAGAAAGAAAACACTAAATCACATATAACAGCAAAATGTTATAAGTAACCTAAATGTTCAAGCACAGAAGAATGAAGCATCATACTTTATTAATAGAATACGTAACCATTAAAATAATGAATATGGAGAAGGGTTTCCCAAGTTAAGTTCCATGGAATATAGAACTAACATGCTCTTTGCAAAGTGTATGCTATATGATCTTGGAGACCATTACACACATTAGCACACTGAAGGCTTTCTTGCAGGAAGGAAACTTCCTTTGCTGTTCTTTAATGTGGTACTTTCCAAACTTACCTGGAAACAGAACCTTTTTTTGTCCTAATTAATTACTGCTGCATAACAAACAATCATTAGTTTGTTTAAAAATTTAGGCAGAGTTCAGCAGGGATAGTTTGTCTCTGCTCCACTTGGTACCAGCTGGGGCACCTTTAAGGCTGGGAACTGAAATCGTCTGAAAACTTGCTCCATCACATGCTTGGTGTGGTTGCAGCCTCTCACGTGGCTCAGTCTTCCTCACAATATGGGGACTGGGATTTCAAGGGTGAGTATTCTGAGAGAGATCCTAGCAGAACGGGATTGCCTTTTATGCCTAAGCCTTTGAAGCTACCTAGAGTCACTTCCACCATATTCTATTGGTCAAAGAAGCCAAATTTCAGGAGGAGGGGAAATGGAATCTACCTCTTGATGGGAGAGTATAAAGAATATAAAGAGCATGTGGGATCTGGAATATTTCTGTAGCTGGTTTTGGCAAATATAAGTTGCCATACTTTTGTTCAAGTGAGATATATTAATTTTCCAATTTTGGCACATGTGGATGGAGGTACACCAAATGCTATACAATCTATATTACATACAGATTTGTTTATACACACACACACACACACCAGTGCAAATGGCACCCCCACTCCCTTTGCTTATAAAAGAGCCTACTTTGTCTGACACAATAAAATAATCCCAAACATGAATGAATTAGGCAATTTTCATTCAAATTCATAGAAAATAACAAGAGGAATCATGGCTAGCTCTGGCTCACGGATTTCCCATTTGGTAAGCTAGGTTACCATATGATCTACATTCTTGCATTTCATAAAAGACACCAAGTTTTAAAGATACTAAGTCATACTGTTATTGCTGATGACAAAAATTTTAATTTTACATAGAAGAAATAGACACAAATGGAGATGTACCTATTTTGGTAAACACAATTCTGAGTAACAAAGCTTACCTAAGAGATTGATTCTTTTAATACCAATGTCTTCTGGAATTTTCTTTCTTATGAAAGGGACTCTTTCAGAATGCTTCCCTCATATAGTTATAGGCATTACATAAAGGAAACCATTTTTTTTTAGTAGTGGCACAAAAATATTTTAAAATAGCTACTTCTAATTACCTACACTAGTCATAACAGATTACGGCAATATAAATGAAACCGTAGTGGAAAGATCTAACATCCATGGAAATTTAAAACAATGAGAAATGGAACTATTACAAAAAATTACCTCCTATACATTCTTTCTCAAGAACTTCCTGGAGGACTTGCTCCAAAAAATGAGACGGCAAATTAAGGAAAAAAACAAAAGATTAAGAAACATGAGTTTCAACATAGGAGAAAGGAAATCGTCATGTAAGAGGATAAGTGATACCAATGATACCTGTGCAAAGATAACAGCCAGGCCAGACTGCAACAAGTTGTTACTCAGCTTGAGGGCTGTCATCATCAAGATCTCCCACCTGCTATTTTAATGACTTCCCATCCATTCCTTATGTTATTTCCTTGTTGTTGCCTTGTTACTTTGGTTAGTTTAATTTGCTTTTATTTTTAAAATTACAAATTTCTTTCTAAGCCATGTGTTAGTTGCATTTTACATTTTATGTTGTGGTTTCATCACAATTCAGTTCAAGATATTTTCTAATTTCTCTGGTGAATTTTTTCTTGACGCATAAGTTTAGAAGTGTGCTGTTTAATTTCCAAATATCGAGAGGTTTTCCTGCTTTTTTGGTATTGGATTATAACTTAATTCTGTTTTGTTCAGAGAACATACTCTGGATGACTTCAATCTTTAAAAATTTATTGATTTTCATGGGCCAGCATATGTTCTATCATGATTAATGTTCTATACACAGTGAAAAAAATGTGTATTCTGTTGTTATTAGGCATATGTTCTACAAATGTCAATTCGGTCAGGTTAGTTTTTAGTGTTGTTGAAGGTTTCTATTTTCTTATTGGTTTCTGTTTACTTGTTATAACCATTTATGGGAGAGGAAGGTTGAAATATCTAACTATAATTGTGGAATTGTCTATTTCTTCTTTCAACTCTTACCAGTTTTTGCTTCATATATTTTTAAGATCTATTGTTAAGTGGATATACATTTAGGAGAATAAATCCTCTTGAACTATCTTATTATAAAATTTCCTCTTTATCTCTGTTAAAACACTTGTCCAGACATATACTTTTTCTCATATTATTTTAGCCACCTTGACTTTCTGATTATTAGTGTTTGCATGGTATATTTAACACATCCTTTAACTTTTAACCTACCTGTGTTTTTATATTTAAAATGCACTCCTTCTATTTAGTATAGCAGGAGTCTACCCCCTATATCTAACCCCCTACAAAAAGCCAATTGCTTATTTTGCAAATAAAGTTTTATTGGAACATAGACATACCTACTTGTTTACATTTTGATCTCTGATAAGAGAGTTGAGTAGTTGTGACAGAAACAGTATGGACCTTAATCTTAAAATAGTTATAATGTGTCCTTTTAATAAAAAGTTTGCCAACCCCTGGAGTTGTTTATTGGGTTTTTATCAGTCTGATGAAAACAAAAAAGCCTTTTAATCTGAGTGTTTCAACAATTTATACTTAATATAGTGATGATATAGTTGGTTCTAAGTTTAGCACCTTGCTATTTGTTTTCTACTTATTCCATCTGTTCTTTCATTTTTTTTTTTTTTAATTTTTTTTTTTTTCTTATTATACTCTAAGTTTTAGGGTACATGTGCACATTGTGCAGGTTAGTTACATATGTATACATGTGCCATGCTGGTGCGCTGCACCCACTAACGTGTCATCTAGCATTAGGTATAACTCCCAATGCTATCCCTCCCCCCTCCCCCGACCCCACCACAGTCCCCAGAGTGTGATATTCCGCTTCCTGTGTCCAAGTGATCTCATTGTTCAGTTCCCACCTATGAGTGAGAATATGCGGTGTTTGGTTTTTTGTTCTTGCGATAGTTTACTGAGAATGATGGTTTCCAGTTTCATCCATGTCCCTACAAAGGACATGAACTCATCATTTTTTATGGCTGCATAGTATTCCATGGTGTATATGTGCCACATTTTCTTAATCCAGTCTATCATTGTTGGACATTTGGGTTGGTTCCAAGTCTTTGCTATTGTGAATAGTGCCGCAATAAACATACGTGTGCATGTGTCTTTATAGCAGCATGATTTATAGTCCTTTGGGTATATACCCAGTAATGGGATGGCTGGGTCAAATGGTATTTCTAGTTCTAGATCCCTGAGGAATCGCCACACTGACTTCCACAATGGTTGAACTAGTTTACAGTCCCACCAACAGTGTAAAAGTGTTCCTATTTCTCCACATCCTCTCCAGCACCTGTTGTTTCCTGACTTTTTAATGATTGCCATTCTAACTGGTGTGAGATGACATCTCATAGTGGTTTTGGTTTGCATTTCTCTGATGGCCAGTGATGATGAGCATTTCTTCATGTGTTTTTTGGCTGCATAAATGTCTTCTTTTGAGAAGTGTCTGTTCATGTCCTTCGCCCACTTTTTGATGGGGTTGTTTGCTTTTTTCTTGTAAATTTGTTTGAGTTCATTGTAGATTCTGGATATTAGCCCTTTGTCAGATGAGTAGGTTGCGAAAATTTTCTCCCATGTTGTAGGTTGCCTGTTCACTCTGATGGTAGTTTCTTTTGCTGTGCAGAAGCTCTTTAGTTTAATTAGATCCCATTTGTCAATTTTGGCTTTTGTTGCCATTGCTTTTGGTGTTTTGGACATGAAGTCCTTGCCCACGCCTATGTCCTGAATGGTAATGCCTAGGTTTTCTTCTAGGGTTTTTATGGTTTTAGGTCTAACGTTTAAATCTTTAATCCATCTTGAATTAATTTTTGTATAAGGTGTAAGGAAGGGATCCAGTTTCAGCTTTCTACATATGGCTAGCCAGTTTTCCCAGCACCATTTATTAAATAGGGAATCCTTTCCCCATTGCTTGTTTTTCTCAGGTTTGTCAAAGATCAGATAGTTGTAGATATGTGGCATTATTTCTGAGGGCTCTGTTCTGTTCCATTGATCTATATCTCTGTTTTGGTACCAGTACCATGCTGTTTTGGTTACTGTAGCCTTGTAGTATAGTTTGAAGTCAGGTAGTGTGATGCCTCCAGCTTTGTTCTTTTGCTTAGGATTGACTTGGCGATGCGGGCTCTTTTTTGGTTCCATATGAACTTTAAAGTAGTTTTTTCCAATTCTGTGAAGAAAGTCATTGGTAGCTTGATGGGGATGGCATTGAATCTGTAAATTACCTTGGGCAGTATGGCCATTTTCACAATATTGATTCTTCCTACCCATGAGCATGGAATGTTCTTCCATTTGTTTGTGTCCTCTTTTATTTCCTTGAGCAGTGGTTTGTAGTTCTCCTTGAAGAGGTCCTTCATGTCCCTTGTAAGTTGGACTCCTAGGTATTTTATTCTCTTTGAAGCAATTGTGAATGGGAGTTCACTCATGATTTGGCTCTCTGTTTGTCTGTTGTTGGTGTATAAGAATGCTTGTGATTTTTGTACATTGATTTTGTATCCTGAGACTTTGCTGAAGTTGCTTATCAGCTTAAGGAGATTTTGGGCTGAGACGATGGGGTTTTCTAGATAAACAATCATGTCGTCTGCAAACAGGGACAATTTGACTTCCTCTTTTCCTAATTGAATACCCTTTATTTCCTTCTCCTGCCTGATTGCCCTGGCCAGAACTTCCAACACTATGTTGAATAGGAGCGGTGAGAGAGGGCATCCCTGTCTTGTGCCAGTTTTCAAAGGGAATGTTTCCAGTTTTTGCCCATTCAGAATGATATTGGCTGTGGGTTTGTCATAGATAGCTCTTATTATTTTGAAATACATCCCATCAATACCTAATTTATTGAGAGTTTTTAGCATGAAGGGTTGTTGAATTTTGTCAAAGGCTTTTTCTGCATCTATTGAGATAATCATGTGGTTTTTGTCTTTGGCTCTGTTTATATGCTGGATTACATTTATTGATTTGCGTATATTGAACCAGCCTTGCATCCCAGGGATGAAGCCCACTTGATCATGGTGGATAAGCTTTTTGATGTGCTGCTGGATTCGGTTTGCCAGTATTTTATTGAGGATTTTTGCATCAATGTTCATCAAGGATATTGGTCTAAAATTCTCTTTTTTGGTTGTGTCTCTGCCCGGCTTTGGTATCAGAATGATGCTGGCCTCATAAAATGAGTTAGGGAGGATTCCCTCTTTTTCTATTGATTGGAATAGCTTCAGAAGGAATGGTACCAGTTCCTCCTTGTACCTCTGGTAGAATTCGGCTGTGAATCCATCTGGTCCTGGACTCTTTTTGGTTGGTAAACTATTGATTATTGCCACAATTTCAGAGCCTGTTATTGGTCTATTCAGAGATTCAACTTCTTCCTGGTTTAGTCTTGGGAGAGTGTATGTGTCGAGGAATGTATCCATTTCTTCTAGATTTTCTAGTTTATTAGCGTAGAGGTGTTTGTAGTATTCTCTGATGGTAGTTTGTATTTCTGTGGGATCGGTGGTGATATCCCCTTTATCATTTTTTATTGTGTCTATTTGATTCTTCTCTCTTTTTTTCTTTATTAGTCTTGCTAGCGGTCTATCAATTTTGTTGATCCTTTCAAAGAACCAGCTCCTGGATTCATTGATTTTTTGAAGGGTTTTTTGTGTCTCTATTTCCTTCAGTTCTGCTCTGATTTTAGTTATTTCTTGCCTTCTGCTAGCTTTTGAATGTGTTTGCTCTTGCTTTTCTAGTTCTTTTAATTGTGATGTTAGGGTGTCAATTTTGGATCTTTCCTGCTTTCTCTTGTAGGCATTTAGTGCTATAAATTTCCCTCTACACACTGCTTTCAATGCGTCCCAGAGATTCTGGTATGTGGTGTCTTTGTTCTCGTTGGTTTCAAAGAACATCTTTATTTCTGCCTTCATTTCGTTATGTACCCAGTAGTCATTCAGGAGCAGGTTGTTCAGTTTCCATGTAGTTGAGCGGCTTTGAGTGAGATTCTTAATCCTGAGTTCTAGTTTGATTGCACTGTGGTCTGAGAGATAGTTTGTTATAATTTCTGTTCTTTTACATTTGCTGAGGAGAGCTTTACTTCCAACTATGTGGTCAATTTTGGAATAGGTGTGGTGTGGTGCTGAAAAAAATGTATATTCTGTTGATTTGGGGTGGAGAGTTCTGTAGATGTCTATTAGGTCTGCTTGGTGCAGAGCTGAGTTCAATTCCTGGGTATCCTTGTTGACTTTCTGTCTCGTTGATCTGTCTAATGTTGACAGTGGGGTGTTAAAGTCTCCCATTATTAATGTGTGGGAGTCTAAGTCTCTTTGTAGGTCACTCAGGACTTGCTTTATGAATCTGGGTGCTCCTGTATTGGGTGCATAAATATTTAGGATAGTTAGCTCCTCTTGTTGAATTGATCCCTTTACCATTATGTAATGGCCTTCTTTGTCTTTTTTGATCTGTGTTGGTTTAAAGTCTGTTTTATCAGAGACTAGGATTGCAACCCCTGCCTTTTTTTGTTTTCCATTTGCTTGGTAGATCTTCCTCCATCCTTTTATTTTGAGCCTATGTGTGTCTCTGCACGTGAGATGGGTTTCCTGAATACAGCACACTGATGGGTCTTGACTCTTTATCCAACTTGCCAGTCTGTGTCCTTTAATTGCAGAATTTAGTCCATTTATATTTAAAGTTAATATTGTTATGTGTGAATTTGATCCTGTCATTATGATGTTAGCTGGTTATTTTGCTGGTTAGTTGATGCAGTTTCTTCCTAGTCTCGATGGTCTTTACATTTTGGCATGATTTTGCAGCGGCTGGTACCGGTTGTTCCTTTCCATGTTTAGCGCTTCCTTCAGGAGCTCTTTTAGGGCAGGCCTGGTGGTGACAAAATCTCTCAGCATTTGCTTGTCTATAAAGTATTTTATTTCTCCTTCACTTATGAAGCTTAGCTTGGCTGGATATGAAATTCTGGGTTGAAAATTCTTTTCTTTAAGAATGTTGAATATTGGCCCCCACTCTCTTCTGGCTTGTAGGGTTTCTGCTGAGAGATCCGCTGTTAGTCTGATGGGCTTTCCTTTGAGGGTAACCCGACCTTTCTCTCTGGCTGCCCTTAACATTTTTTCCTTCATTTCAACTTTGGTGAATCTGACAATTATGTGTCTTGGAGTTGCTCTTCTCGAGGAGTATCTTTGTGGCGTTCTCTGTATTTCCTGAATCTGAACGTTGGCCTGCCTTGCTAGATTGGGGAAGTTCTCCTGGATAATATCCTGCAGAGTGTTTTCCAACTTGGTTCCATTCTCCACATCACTTTCAGGTACACCAATCAGACGTAGATTTGGTCTTTTCACATAGTCCCATATTTCTTGGAGGCTTTGCTCATTTCTTTTTATTCTTTTTTCTCTAAACTTCCCTTCTCGCTTCATTTCATTCATTTCATCTTCCATTGCTGATACCCTTTCTTCCAGTTGATCGCATCGGCTCCTGAGGCTTCTGCATTCTTCACGTAGTTCTCGAGCCTTGGTTTTCAGCTCCATTAGCTCCTTTAAGCACTTCTCTGTATTGGTTATTCTAGTTATACATTCTTCTAAATTTTTTTCAAAGTTTTCAACTTCTTTGCCTTTGGTTTGAATGTCCTCCCGTAGCTCAGAGTAATTTGATCGTCTGAAGCCTTCTTCTCTCAGCTCGTCAAAATCATTCTCCATCCAGCTTTGTTCTGTTGCTGGTGAGGAACTGCGTTCCTTTGGAGGAGGAGAGGCGCTCTGCATTTTAGAGTTTCCAGTTTTTCTGTTCTGTTTTTTCCCCATCTTTGTGGTTTTATCTACTTTTGGTCTTTGATGATGGTGATGTACAGATGGGTTTTCGGTGTAGATGTCCTTTCTGGTTGTTAGTTTTCCTTCTAACAGACAGGACCCTCAGCTGCAGGTCTGTTGGAATACCCTGCTGTGTGAGGTGTCAGTGTGCCCCTGCTGGGGGGTGCCTCCCAGTTAGGCTGCTCGGGGGTCACGGGTCAGGGACCCACTTGAGGAGGCAGTCTGCCCGTTCTCAGATCTCCAGCTGTGTGCTGGGAGAACCACTGCTCTCTTCAAAGCTGTCAGACAGGGACACTTAAGTCTCAGAGGTTACTGCTGTCTTTTTGTTTGTCTGTGCCCTGCCCCCAGAGGTGGAGCCTACAGAGGCAGGCAGGCCTCCTTGAGCTGTGGTGGGCTCCACCCAGTTCGAGCTTCCCGGCTGCTTTGTTTACCTAAGCAAGCCTGAGCAATGGCGGGCGCCCCTCCCCCAGCCTCGTTGCCGCCTTGCAGTTTGATCTCAGACTGCTGTGCTAGCAATCAGCGAGATTCCGTGGGCGTAGGACCCTCTGAGCCAGGTGTGGGATATAGTCTCGTGGTGCGCCGTTTCTTAAGCCGGTCTGAAAAGCGCAATATTCGGGTGGGAGTGACCCGATTTTCCAGGTGCGTCCGTCACCCCTTTCTTTGACTCGGAAAGGGAACTCCCTGACCCCTTGCGCTTCCCAGGTGAGGCAATGTCTCGCCCTGCTTCGGCTCGCGCACGGTGCGCACACACACTGGCCTGCGCCCACTGTCTGGCACTCCCTAGTGAGATGAACCCGGTACCTCAGATGGAAATACAGAAATCACCCGTCTTCTGCGTCGCTCACGCTGGGAGCTGTAGACCGGAGCTGTTCCTATTCGGCCATCTTGGCTCCTCCCTGTTCTTTTATTTTTAATGTTGTCTTCTTTTGAAATGATTGATTTTTTTTTTTTTTTTTTTTTGAGACAGGGTCTCACACTGTTGCCCAGGCTACAGTGCAGTGGCGCAATCATGGCTCACTGCAGCCTCAACCTCCTGGGCTCAAGTTATCTTCTCATTTCAGCCTCAGCCTCTGAGACTACAGGTTTACACCAGTATGCCTGGCTAATTTTTTAATTTTTTGTAGATACAGGGTCTCATTATGTTGCCCAGGCTGGTCTCAAACTCCTGGACTCAAGTGATCCTCCTCCCTTGGCCTCCCAAAGTGTTTACTTACAGGCATTGGCCATCATGCCTAGCCAGTTCTCTAGTATTCTACTTTATCTCCTCTATTGATTTATCAGCTATATTTCTTTGTTTTAAATCTTTGGTGATTGCTCTAGGGTTTAAATATGCATCTTTAACTTATCACAGCCCAATTTTAAATAATAGCCTATAATTTCCTAATAATATAATGAGCTTAAGACACAATATCTGAAATGTCTGGGACTAGAATTCATTCAAATTTTGAATTTTTTCAAATTTTGGAATACTTGTGTTAAACAGATTGAGAATCCCTAATCCAAAAATCCAAAATCTGAAATGCTCCAATGATCATTTCCTTTGAGCATCGGGTAGGCACTCAATAAGTTTTGAATTTTGGACCATTCTGGATTCTGGGATTAGGAATATTCCACCTGTACTACAATTTATCCCTCCCATTCTTTGCACTATTGCCATATATTTTACTTCTACATATGTGATAACAAAATATTCATTTTTATTTTTCAGTGTTTTTTACTTAAGCAGTCAGTTATCTTTTTAAATATATAAACAACAGTCTTTTATGTTTACCAATCTATTTACAATTTCTGGGGCTCTTCATTCTTCTGAAGAGATCGAGTTTCCATCTAGCATCATTTTTCTTCTGCCTTAAGACTTTATTTAACATTTCTTGTAACAGGTCTGCTAGCAATGAATTCTCTCAGTGGATTTTTTTTTTCTGAAAATGTCATCATTTTAGATGTTTTTTCCTGGTTATAGAATTTAAGGTTTATAAGTCTTCATCTTTTGATACCGATCTCATTCCATTATCTTCTGGTTTGCATTTTTTCTGATGTGAAGTCAGTTCATTTTTGTTTTGCATTTTGTGATGTGCCTTTTTCTTCATTTACTTTTATGACTTTTCTCTTTATCACTGGTTTCAGAAATGATATGTTTTGGTATGGTTTTCTTTTCTATTTGAAGTTAAATGAACTTGGATTTTTATGTTTCTATTTTTCATCCAATGTGGAACAATTTTGGCCATATTTGTTCAAATATTTTTTCTGCCCTCACCCCTTCTGCAACTCCAATTCCATATTTGTTATGCCTCATAGTATCAGGACACTTAGGTGCTGGGTTTTTTTTTTGGGGGGGGTATGGAGGAAGGGGGAGGGTTCAGTTTTCTTACTCTCTAATTCAGTTTTTACTTTACTTTACTTACTCGTTTTTAGACTTGGGGACTGGCTAGTATGTCCAGGCTGGAATGCAGTGGCTATCCACACATGTGATCATAGCACACTACAGCCCCAAACTCCTGTACTTAAGCTATTCTTCCACTTCAGCCTCCTGAGTAGGTAGGACTATAGGCACGTGCCACTGTACCCAGCAGCGGTTCAGTTTTTCATACTTTCTTCAAGTCTATTGATCTTTTTAATTGGCAATGTTTATTGCATTGAGAAACCCATCCAGTGGATATTCCATTCAGATGTGGGAATTCCTAGAGCTAAAAAATATATTTTCTAAGACTCTCTTCATTGTTTTAATGTTTTACTTTATATCCTTGTATATGTGTACAATTAGATGTTTTAAAGTCTTTGCTGTTTACATTATTGCTGTCATTTCTTGCTCTGTTTCTACTGATTGTCTATTCTAGTGGTTTGGGGTTAATTTTCCTACTTTTTCATGTCTTATAATTCTTGGCTAGATGCTGATCACTATCAAGGTTTTGTAAAATGTTTAGATTTAGTTGTCTTCCCATCTGGCTCTTCGTGTCTATTCTCAAGTTGGTTAAAAACTATAAGGAAAAACTTTCTCCAAATCACAACGGCAAAATGTCCTGTTATTAAAAAATCTCTAAAAGTCTCTATTTTAATTTGAGGCTCTTTTCTTCATGACTGTTTTAATTTCTCTTTACTTTTTTAAGGGCAATTTGATTTGGGTAATATTCAAAGCATTGTAAAGTGTTTCCTCCATGATGCTGCATCTACCCTCTTGTTGACAAATTACATGAAAGGATTGTGACTGCTTCTTTTTTATTTCCTTTTACTCATTGTATTTGTCTGTTTTCATGCTGCTGATAAAGACATACCCAAGACTGGGAAGAAAAAGTGGTTTAATGGACTTACAGTGCTACATGGCTGGGGAGGCCTCACAATCAGCCAGAGGGCAAAGGGAGAGCTTGAGCTGGGAAACTCCTGTTTTTAAAAACCACCAGATCTCATGAGACTTATTCACTATCACGAGAACAGCACATGAAAGACCCGCCCCCATGATTCAATTACCTCTCATTGGGTCCCTCACACAACACGTTGGAATTCAAGATGAGATCTGAGTGGTGACACAGCCAAACCGTATTACTTTCATTCTAGTACTATACTGCAACTAAACCAGTGATTCAACTGCCAGCTCCAGTCATCCTTTTCTCAGTCCTAACATTCTGTGTGTTATAGAGGTAAAGAAATAATTACAGTTTGAGAAGTACTTTATAACAGAGATACGCAAATCATGCTAAATATCCACATTTAAAAACTATCCTACGCAAACCCATCAATTCAATAATTACAAGACATTTTAAAAGGTAGGAAAATGTGACCTAAAACCAAGAGAAAAGATAGTCATTAGAAACAGATCAAGATCTCCTAGGCTCAAGCAATCCTCTTGAATAGCTGGAACTACAGGCACGTACCACCATGCCTGGCTGATATTTTACTTTTACATTTTTTAGTAGAGAGGAGGCCTCATTATGTTGCCCAGGCTGGTCTTGAACTCCTTAGCTCAAGTGATCCTCTCACCTCAGTCTCCCAAAGTGTTGGGATTATAGACATGAGCCACCACACCTGAGCATCAATCTTTTAAAAAACCAGAAATCAGTAGTGTATTACTCAGAATAGTTTATTCCATGACTATGTATCTATTTAATTAACCCCCACTTTTGGATATTTAAACTGTTTTCCAATATCATGATTAAATAGTTCTTGATAATACATTTTGGAGAAATTTCTAGAAATGTAATCTCTGGGTCAAAGGGTACACACATACATATAGCTTTTGTTTGAGTTTCTTTCAGAAAGATAATACCAAGATGTTGGAATAGTACACTGTCTGGTTCCCTCTCCAAAGACCAACTCCTATAGGAAATATAAAGAAAAAAAGCCAAGAAATAAGAAAACCCGAAAACTCCCAGGGAAGAAAGTGGGGTGAAAAAGGACAATTTTGAACTGGTAAGTGTGCTGGCTGGTGGCTTGGGCCTTGGATCTGGGGCAGGAGGCAGTCCTTCAAATATGTGGGAGGATAAAACAGGAAATGAACTATTGGAGTTCTGCTTTTGACTATTCCATGACTTGAGTAAAAAACTTATAGTTCCCATATCTACAGGGACTCAGACTACAGTCCAAATGCCCTCAGAAGTAAACCATAATTATAAAAAGCTGAGGAAAACAGGTGGAGACCAACTAACCTTAGGTAGTAATTTCTCTGCCCTTTCCTACTAAACCGTAAAGCTGGTAAATTACAATAAATAGCTTTGGCTGCTGTTCTCCCTGGTGGGATCAGGGAGAAGCGGAGAGATGGTGAAGCAGAGATCTGAGGTGTCATTTTGTAGATTTGATAAACTGATTTCTCAAGTAGCCTGGGGCTTTTCTACCTACCTTCCATCCTTTGAGCTCACTGAAAATGCCAGACTGGATACTAGTCTCTTCCCACATGTGATGTCATAGTAGCCAATATCCCCAGAGGGAAATTACCTTACAGGTCAACATATCAAGACATTGAAGAAGCACAACTGTTTTCAAAGAAAAATAAAATATTGGCATACAGATTCTAAGAGAAGCAGAATTATTAGATCTGATGTCCCAAGAACTTAAAATAAGCCTAATAAACATACTAAAAGAGATAAGGGAAGATATTAGCGGCATATAATAAGAACAAGAGAACAAAGAAGCACGCAGAAATATTAGGTACAAAAATATAATACTTGAAGTATATAGACTGGATAAATAATAGAATTTAAATGAGGAGTAAATTAATGAATCCAAAGATCAGTTTGAGGAAATCTTCAAACCTAAGAACAAGGATATAGAAAATATAAAAGAAAGGCTAAGGGATTGACAGTGCTAACATCTGAATAACAGGAGACTCAGAAAGAAAAATAGGCTGGGTCTGGTGGCTCACACCTACAATCCCAGCACTGTGGGAAGCCAAGGCGGGAGGACCACTTGAGGTCAGGAGTTCAAGACCAGCCTGGCTAACACAGTGAAACCCCATCTCTATCAAAAAATACAAAAATTAGCTGGGCGTGGTGGCATGTGTCTGCAGTCCCAGCTACTCAGGAGGCTGAGGTGGGAGAATCGCTTGGGCCCAGGAGGAGGTTGAGCAGAGATTGTGTCACTGCATTCCAGCCCAGGTGACAGAGTCAGAAGGTCTCAAAAAAAAAAAAAAAATTAAGAAGGATGTATTTGAAGGAATGATGGAGTTGAACAGGCCAAAAACATCATGGATTTTATTTTTTTAAATTAATTAAAAAAATTTTTTTACAATGTGATTAGGGAATATCATGGATTTTCAAAGTATTGAAGGAAAAATATTAAAACCTAGATTTTTACATATGACAATGCAGTCATTCAACTATGAGGCTATGATGACATATATTTCCAAGCATACAAGACCTCAGAAGACAGTTTTTGATAAAATCCTTAAATAGAAACAAATATGGAAGATAATTAAAAGACGTGTGAAGTAATGCTGACAAAATGTCTTGGGAAAATGTGCTGTTTTTTTAAATAGCCAACAACTAAGAAAAGGAGAACATAGGGGCATAATGGTTTAGGATTTAAAGTAGATAGTAGCAAATGATGGGGTAGGAGAAGATGAAGAGACAAAGGGATGTCAGAATGGACAAGATTCTTTGTAGGAGAGATATATATACATCCAATTTTTTTTTTAGTAATAAAAGATTCAAAATAAATTCAGAAAACATTCAAAGTGTGGGAAAAACTTAAATATTGAAAATGGTGAAACACATTGTAATGTATAAACAATTATGATTATAATTACTATTTCATTTATTTTTGTTAGTGTGTCCATGAACTTCCTGCTTATGATCTTTACTCCTTTTTCTTTTTGTAAGGGGAAATACCCTTCATTTTTCTTCGATAATACATGGTCACTATATGGTTCAAACTCTAAGATAAGGGGAAAATCTCCTGGAGTTAACTACAATCAGATACATACTATATATCAAATTGATATATAGTATATATCAAATGTAGAGGACATCAGACCATATCATTGCTCATTTCTTCTGCAACACTTACTTTCCTGAACATGATGCTTTACTTATTCTTTTATCAAAATATTCATCTTGACACATATAACCAGAAGTTTTAAGAGCTATGAGGAAGTCAATTCAGGGCATTATTAACTGAAATTTCTAGTTATACAAAAGCAGGATACTGTCGTAGTGCAGGATTAATTTAGGTATGTGGCAGAGGGAGTTTAACTGAAGCAAGACCAGGCAGATCAGAGACCAGTGGTCAGAGTTAGGACAATCAATTCCCAGTCAGTCCAAAAGCGGGGTGCCCATTACATGGCTCAGTTGAATGTGGGCACTGAGATTTCCTGTGAATGTGAATGTGAATGTCAATGTGGGCTCAGTATTTCCTGACTCAAAGGAAACTCAGTCTGAGGTATACCTGAGGGTGAGAAGAATACCAGCTGCCATCAAAAGCCATTGGAAGGGGAGTGGAAGAAGCTGAGAAGGAAACCTGAATTGACCAAAAAGCATTAAAGATGTATATAATTGTCAAAGATATGTCCTCACCAAAATCCCCAGAACCAGATAGTTTTACATTTGAGTTAGCACACATTAAAAGAAACAGTAAATTCCTTTCTTAAAAGGAGCAAACATGCACATCTCATTTTAGAAGGCTAGTGTAATCTTAATTATAAAACCAAACGAGGAAAATAAGAAAATTACACTGCATTTAACTTAAAAATATAGATTCCAAAATCTCCAGTCAGATATTTGCTAACCAAACACAACAGTGTATTAAAGAATAATACATCATGATCAGGTAATACTTCATAATGCAAACTATGAATGCATGGATGGTTTAATATTAGAAATTCTATACATATAATACATAACATTAATATACCACAGGATGAATACCTTATAATTATTTTAACATACACATAATAAAAAGCATTGTTAAGGTTCAATAGCTATTTATAAGACTGCTTAGCAAACTAAAAATAGAAGAACCTTTCTTAATCTGGTAAATGTTATATATTAAAAAACATTTTGTAAGTATTAATTGAGAAACTTTAGGTTCACCTCCTTTATGATGAGACATGAGATGGCCAACATCACTACTACTCGTTAACATAGTTCCAGAGGAACTAACAAAAAAAGATATAGGAAAGAAGAAAGGAGTTTAAATATAAAGATGGGAAGGAAGGAAATAATATTATCATTAATTTCAAATGATTATAATAATCTATTTCAAAAAAAAGAACAATCTGTTAAGAATAAGAGGGTTTAGCAATATAGTTAGGACAAAGATAAACTTTTAAAAATATCAGTAGCACTCATGTACTCCAGCAATAAACATCAAGAAAATATTTTTAATGGGATATTTAAAATCTGAATGTCTACTTAAAGAACATCATGCATAAAATTTAAAAGTTGAAAGAATGGAAGCAGATATTTTATAATATCTAAACTGATAGGAAATTAATATCGAGCACATACAACAAATTCCTATAAAACAATTGAACCCAAATGAAAAAATATATAAAGAATATGAGAAGCAAGTTCAGAAGAGGGAAATCAAAAGGCCAACAGGTATATGATGAGATACTCAAACTCAATAGTGATTTTAAAAAACTCAAAACAATGATCTATAAAATTACACACATTAGACTGAAAACATGAGTAAGCTGGAAAACGTTAAGGGCTGGCATGGATGATGAGAAGGTTATTGCTGGAGTCTGTAAAGACCAAAGTATTTATGTGGGGACGCATCTGATAGGGATTGGTTAAATTAATCATAAACATATATTCTGTCACCCAGCAATTCTGCTCCTGGGTATATATTCTAAAGAAATCCTTGCAAAGTTCCACGATAGGACATGATGAACATGTGGTAAAAGGAAATTGAAAGCAATTTGGATGGCAAACACTGAGGAAAATGGGTAGTGAAAATATGGCTGCCATATACTGTGGATTACCATGTAGCAGTAAGCAGCAGTAAAAACATGGCAACATAAATAAAGTTTAAAACTTAAGGTTATATGAAATAAAATAGTAAGGATCACAATGAGATACACAGCACGAAATCACTTACACTTATTTAAATTTCATGTATATAAGTCAGGGTGAGGAGAGGTCAGAGGTAAAACAAATTGTACCATAAGATGCTAACTGTTGAAGCTGACATATAGACATGTGGCGGTTCATAATATTCTCTCTTTTCCTTTTCATTTATTTGAAATTTCTCATATAAAAATTTTAAAATGTATGCATGCAAAACAATACTCATTATGAAAATATAAACAAAATAGAACAGTACAATAGATATTATTTTAGAATATCATAATATTAGAATGATTTCCTATGGGTCAAGGGCAGGAGAATGAGACTGGAAAATTTATAAATAAATAAAACAAGAAGTGCTTTGCATGAACCAGTAATGACAGTGCCCCATGGACCTAAGAGTGTGATTAACTCTGCTTTCTCTTTGTGTAAAAGGTCTTTTAAAAAAAAGATGCCGGGCGAGGTGGCACATGCATGTAATCCCATCACTTTGGGAGGCCGAGGCAGGAAGATGGCTTGAGCCTAGGAGGTTGATGCTGCAGTGACCCATGATTATGCCACTGTATTCCAACCTGGGCAACAGAATAAGACCCTGCCTCAAAACAAACAAACAAACACACGACAACAACAACAAAAACCAGAAAGTGCCCGGCATGGTTAATGCACACCTGCAGTCCTAGCTGCTTGAGAGGCTGAGGTGGGAGGATTGCTGGAGCCCAGGAGCTCAAATCTAGTCTGAGCAACTTAAAGAGACTACATCTCTTAAAGTAAAAGATACATATATACATATATATATATATATATGTATAATTTTTTTTTACTAGAAGGATCTGATTTAGACTGTGGAGAAGAAGGAACCATAAAAATAGTTATCTAATCATTATAATTCAGAAAACAATTGAATAGCTCTTCCAAGTAACCAAGTCACCATATATAACTATGTAAATGAATTAGAAATAAGTAATATCACTTATGTTTTCAAGAGAAGTCATTTCTGACAATAATATTCATTATAGAAAACTGGCAAAAATCATTAAACAGTTAACCACAAATTAAGGAGAAAAAATAGACTCTAAATACTTGCACTCTAAGAGAATAAAGAAAAATAGAAAAAAGAAAAAACACTCCTGCACTAGGGGCTGTAAACTGTTTTACTTGGCTTAAGTAGTAGCAAAAGTAAACTTTTTTTCAAAGGAAAAATTTTATGCTGACATTTAAAAATAAGGATTTTTCAAATTTATTTCTGTTCTTTAAAAAAACTACTGAGAATTGATTTTACAGCATCTCATTTCCATTTAGCAAGGATCCTAGAACTGAATAGGAGCATCCCGTTTACAGGTCACATACTCTCCAGGCTTCCATTGTCCCCATTTGGCAAGGAACATTAAAATATTGTTTTTGGAGGTTTATTCCCCTTGTATCTCACTTGAAATTTTAACAAAATGTGCTCAGAAATTTACTTAGTCATGTTAAGTATGTAAGCAGTCATGGGAGGCATGAACAGAACGTGCTACGTGAAAGAATATGCTAGGTAAAGAGAAATTTTGGGGGAGCCATGATAAAATGAAAAGAGGTTTGTATTCAGGGGTTATAATGTTATGAGTATATGAAACTATGACAGAGTGTTTTGGAGTGGATAAAGAACAAGTTCTTAACTTGTTAAAGGGGCTGATTAATAAATACATGAAAACAGTGCAATGAATAATAGTTTTTCTGTTTAATTATTTTTTCAAATTAAATTCTGCTGAGTTGTATTCACAGGTTTGATAGAAGTTACTTTTTTTTTTTTTTTTGAGACAGAGTCTCGCTCTGTCACCCAGGCTGGAGTGCAGTGGTGCGATCTCGGCTCACTGCAAGCTCCGCCTCCCGGGTTCACGCCATTCTCCTGCCTCAGCCTCCCGAGTAGCTGGGACTACACGCGCCTGCCACCACGCCCGCCTAATTTTTTTGTATTTTCAGTAGAGACCGGGTTTCACCGTGTTCTCCAGGATGGTCTGGATCTCCTGACCTCGTGATCCGCCCGCCTCGGCCTCCCAAAGTGCTGGGATTACAGGCGTGAGCCACCGCGCCCGGCCAGAAGTTACTTTTTTATTCTTTATTCTTAACTGGTTTGCACTTGTGTATTACAATTTATTATTTTTTAATCAACCGCTTATTACAAATGAAATCTGATACTTTCTGTCAAGATGATATTATGGAATAAAAATTTGTGTCTGAATATGAATGAATGCAGTTGTGAGGTAACTTAGACAGGAGCAGTGATAAAAAGTAAACAAGTTTAACAAGTCGAATTATAATCTGACAACCCTAACCATTTACATGAAATTATATATGGGGCTATAGTTACTACTTACCTTTAGTGCTTATCTTCTAAAGATCTTGTCTGTAAACCATAAAGCCTTCAATGTCTACTTCCCACATGTAGAAACTGACATCTTCAATGTACATCTAAAAGAGAAGCATAAGAAAATATAATGAATTTGAGATTATAGATATTGCTTCATTTAGTTTAAATATAAAAAAATTGAAATTATTCTTCATGACTTTATATAATAAGCCTGGGCAAAGGGATGTATTATAGGACATATTTTATGTAAACAAACAGCAATAACATTAAGATTAACCGTTTAGAAGAATCAGAATATTTTGTGGAACGTAAGTTATGATCCATGTCACAGAGTTGAGTACTTTCTATAATACTAATTTGATCTGCCTACCTAGTTTCTATGCAAAATTTTTATACGATTTAAAATACATAAATTGTGGTGTCCTGCATGAACAGAGCCCCATTCTAAAAAATAGTTTCCCTGCTCAAAATTATTACAAAAATATTCTTAATTACACTTGAGTTGCTTATAAAAGCCAAAATCATAGAAATCAATTAGTTCAGTATTCTGTCCTCATGAAAAATTCAAAATTCTATTCCTCTTATTACTTAAATCTCCCCAGTCAGTACTTTACACCAACCTGCTAAACTTAGCATAAAAAAAAAGCCCTTTAAATAAAATTCCCTCTAATAGACAAATGTGATTATCCAGAGAGAGTGTTTTTTGCCTAAAGAACTTGATTGTGAATTCCTTGACAATGCAGTTAGGGAAACAGGATTTGGATTCTACAGTGCCATACTTAATATGTACTTTTTGTTTTTGTTTTGTTTTGAGACAGGGTCTCCCTGTGTTGCTCAGGCTGGTCTTGGGCTCCTGAGCTCAAGAGATCCTCCTTTCTCATCCTCCCAAGTAAGTGGTTTTGAGTACTGTAGATTCTCAAGCCAAACATAAATGATTTTTGGATTAGCAATTATCATTGCTCCTTTTGGTCATTAGTGCAGATGTCGGTTTTTCAGTTGCAGCTGTACAATCAAACACTTGAAACACTTTTAAAATATATTCACACTCAGCATATTCTTTACATATTATGGTTTAATTAGTATGAGGTAGGGCCAGGGCTCAGGTATTTTTAAAAAGCATGAAGGAAGGATATCTTTTTCTCCAGTTGAGAAACAATTTCACTGCAAATATTTAGCTTAGTTTCTACATATTAATAAGACATTAACTTCCAAAAATACTATTTACAGATGTCTATGAAAAACACTGAGTTATTTCTAATACAAATACTAAATGTCAAAATGATTTGAAAGCTTCCATGATACACACAAACATACCTCAATGACCATGTAATATCTTAGATACAAGGATGCAAGCATGATGCAATTAGTATCTGGCATGAATCTCAAACTGTAATGCACTTAAGGACCAAAGTAGCACTTTAAAATCTAGAACCCCAGGTGCATGCCCACAGTTCTGGTTCAGAACTAGGCTGAGGCAGATTCTCTATTCTTTACAGGCATCTTGATTATAATGTAGATCTACAGTCCGTGTAGAATTGTGATCTAAAGCACACATATGAACACTGACTATTACTAGACTCTCATTGTTAGCATTTATGTAAATACTTCTTGAGTTTTCTAAGATTATATTTCTAATCTTTAAAGATAATCCTGAGACCCACCAGCTTAGGAAGGAACTTTGAACATATAGTAAATAGGACTTCAGCAATAAATCAATATAGACATACTAAAATCATGTTTATGGATTATATCTTTTGTAAGCTTTGCTATCCTCTTAGGTAAACTGTGTAGGTAGACAATCAATAAAATACTGTGGCAAAAAAGAGGGAAATGTTATATTCCATAATGAAAATTTTACTGAAAACCTCACATATAACTAGAAACATGCCCTTGATGGCTCAGAATTAATTTTTTTTTTTTTTTTGTCCTTAAGTTAGTGGGGGTGGCAGGCTGGGGAGAAGCACTCCTAGCTTAATTTTCTGTTTAAATACAAAGTCAAAAATTTTATGAAGTCTTGAATCGTCTCTCTCTCTCTCATAACTACTAAAAATGACATGAAATAGGCTATTAATGTTTTAGTTTCGAAAATTGTTGCTGGGCGTAGTGGCTCAAGCCTGTAATCCCAGCACTTTGGGAGGCTGAGGCAGGTGGATCACCTGAGGTCAGGAGTTCGAGACCAGCCTGGCCAACATGGTGAAACCCTGTCTCTACTAAAAATACAAAAATTGGCTGGGTGTGGTGGTGTGCGCCTACAATCCCAGCTACTCGGGAGGCTGAGACAGGAGAATTGATCTCTTGAATCCAGGAGACAGAGGTTGCGGTGAGCTGAGATTATGCCACTGCAATCTAGCCTGGGCAACAGAGCAAGACTCTGTCTCAAAAAAAAAAAAAAAGCAAGAAAATTCTTATAAACAGGTCCCCAAATACTTTGCAATAAAAATATATTCATACACATATACCATTTAAGATTTTTTTCTGAAAAAAAAAAAAAAAAAACAAAACTCTAATAAACAGAGGTAATTATCTGAGTCTTTGTTATACATAACAAGGATGGAGACCTTAAAAACTACTAAACCAGAAAAGAAAACTATACTTTAGCTCTTATTTTCCTTACCTAGTTTGAAGTACTCTTAATAAAGTATTCTTTTTACATGCATGTAATGCTAAAGATCTCAGATTTTCTACAAATTCAAATCAATCCACAGTTTATCATTGCAGTTTATCTTTTTTAATAAGAACCAATAGCTCTGTAAATCACAAATAGTCTACATCACAAAAGAATTCAATCATATTAATCTTTAATGATTAAAAATACAAGTTTCCAGATAACAGGCATTGTTAAGTAGCACTAACATTTGTCATGTAAATTACTAAAACTTATTTCTTGCTTTTAAATATAGTAAATAATAGCTAACATTTACTGAGTTCTAAATTATAAGTAGTACAGTTAATTCTCACAACAATCCTAAGAAGTGCTTATGTTCTTAAAAAGTAGAAAATAAAGAAGTGCTATTATCATCTATATTTTACAGATAAAGAAAGTGAGGAACATAGATTACATAAGTTATCCAAGGTTCCATAGCTAATAACTGGAAGAACTGGATTTCAAACTCCAGCAGTCTACAATTAACTATGGTATTTTCTGAAGGCCCCATCCAGTAACCTAAAATCTCCAATAACTCTGGAAGCCTCAGAAATTAATATGAAGATATCTTTGGTCAGGTTTTCCATCTGCAAACAGAATGCCATGGTGTTCCACTTCCAACTTTTCTTATTCCTCACAAAAAAGATGATTACTAAGCCCCACTTAGCTGTACATACATTCTATTATTCCTGTGCAATCTAAATAATATAATAAGGTCTCTATGATACAAAGAGTTTTCTTAAAACCTTGGTCTTGCTTCTAAATGTAATATTCTATGTGCCTAATCACATCAAGATCCATTAAGTATGGTCAATACTGAGATATAAATTTGTGGTTTTAAAACATTTTCAATTCTCTTACAAAAAATTATACCTTCTTAAAATATGACTGCAATTTCAATGTTTTGTTGTATTTTCACAATAGCTATATATATTTATAAAATACGAAGTGAAGTTATGATTTATGAATACAATGCAAAATAACTAAATGAAGCCAGTAAACATGTCCACCTCAAATACTTAATATTCTTTGTGGTGAGAATATTTGAAATTTACTCTCTTAGCAATCTTGAATTTTACCATACTCTACTTTTTATCCATTCATCATCTTAGTTTGATTCTGTAACTTGGCTATTGTGAACAGCTCTGCAGAGAACATGGAAGTGCAGACATCTCTTAAAACAAACTAATTTAAAATGTTTTGGGTGAATATCCAGAAATGGGATTGCTGGATCATCAGATAATTCTATTTTTAGTTTATTGAGGAACCTTCACACAGTTTTCCACATGTGTACATTTCCACCAACAGTGTACAAAGTTTTCCTTTTCTTTACATCGTCATCAACATTTGTTATCTTTTGTATTTTTTTTTTTTGGTAATGGTCATTCTGAGAGGTGTGAAATTATATATCATTACAGATTTAATTTGTATTTCCTGAATGATTAGCAATGTTGAGAAGTTTTTCTTGTATCAGTTGGACTTTTGGATGCCTTTTTTTGAGAAATGTATATTCAGGTCCGTTTCCAATTTTTAATGTTTTTTTTTAAAATTTTCTTGCTATTCAGGTGTTTCGGCTTCTTATATATTTTGGATATTAACCCCTTATTCAATGTATGACTTGAAAATATTTTCTCCCAATCTGTAGGCTGTCTCTGTACATTGTTTCTTTTGCTGTACAGAAGCTTTTTCATTTGATATAATCCCCTTTATCTATTTTTGTTTTCGTTGCCTGCACTTTTGCGGTCAAATCCAAAAAATCAATACCCAGACCAATTTTGCAGTTTTCCCCCTAAGTTTTCTTCTAGGAGTTTTACAGTTTCTGGTCTTAACATTTAAGTCTTTAATCCATTTTGAGTTGATTTTTGTATATGGAGTGAAATAAGGGTCCAATTTTGTTCTTCTATATGTGGATATCCAGCTTTCCCCAACATCATTTATTAAAGAGACTATCCTTTGCCATTGTTTATTGTTGACATCTTTGTCATAAATCAATTGACCATACATGCATGGGCTCATTTCTAAGCTCTCTATTCCAGTCCACTGGGGATGTGTTCATTTTTATTTTAATTTTTTTTGCTAGCACTACAGTATTTTTAATTACTATAGGTTTGTAGTACAATTTGAATTCAGGTAGTGTGATGCCTCCAGCTTTGATTTTTTTGCTCATGATTGCTTTGGCTATGCAAGTTTTTGTTGTGGTTCCATATAAATTTTAGGATTTCTTAATCTATTTCTATGAAAAATGATGTTGGAATTTTGATATGGATTGTATTGAATCTGTAGATAATTTTGGGTAATATGAGCATTTTAAGAATATTAGTTTCTTCAATGCATAAACATGGGATATCTTTCCATTTATTTGTGTCTTCTTCAATTTCTTTCATCAATGTTTTAGTTTTCAGTGAACCTGTGTAGTTAGATTTATTTATTTATTTATGAGACAGAGTCTTGCTTTGTCACCTAAGCTGGAGTGCAGGAGCAGGATCATAGCTCACTGTAGCCTCTTTACTGCTGGGCACAAGCAAATCTCCCATTATGGGATCCTTGGGGTGTCACTTTGCCAGCCAGAAACCTCTGTGGCTAGTGGCGCCTTTGCCTGAGTTTTGCTAGGGTCCACTGGGCTCATTCTGTCCACTTGAGCACGCAGACTGAGTTCAGCTCATGATACTGGCCCAGATCCACACTTGCCAAGGGTGAGCCTGGCAAGGAGTGGCAACGGGTGTGTGAGCAAGCGTGGGGTCCGACCACTGCGCAGAGCCAGGCGTGCTGACTGCAGCGGGGTGGGCTGCCCCAGGCGCTGGCAAAGGCACCAGCTACGTGCAAGGCTATGGCTGGACCAGGCATACCGCAAGCAATTTCCACCGGAGACACCTGGGAACACAGTGGCTCGTGGAAGCTTGGAGATGCCAGGATACACAGAGCCACAAAGAGGGTGTCACAGCACTGGCTCAAGGAGCCCCCTGGTTTGGGCTCCCAGAAGGGTTACAGCTCGTCTTTCTTTCTAGTCGCCCGCATTGTGGTGAGTGGGGGGCGTGTTTTAGCCCTGTTTGTTACTGCTCTTTCAGTGGTGCCATTCGGCGGGTCCCAAGTTCTTGTCTCACCATCCAGCAAGAATGAGGTACGCGAACAACTGGAGGGTGAGCAGGCAGAGAGGAGCTTCACTGAGCAACAGAGCAGCTCTCAGGAGATCTGAAGTGGGTAGCTCTTTTCCGCAGGCAGGTCGTCCTGATGAGTGTCCAGCTCTCAGTGGCGAGGAGACCCATGGTGGGTGGCTGATTTCTGCAGGCTGGTAATTAAGAGCTGAGGAGACCTGAAATGGGTAGCTCCTTCCCGCACCTGGTAGTCCCAACGGTCTGTATGAGTCTGACTGAGTCCAGAGTTTTTATGGGCTTCAGAAGGGAGGAAGTACATGGTGACTGGTCCATGGGCAGCCATGGCGGGTCTGGAAAAAGCATCATAAGTTTTCACTCTGACTGGCAGACTCCACCTGGAACTAACAGCCTAGCACCCACGCTTCAGGCTGTCCTTAGTCTGAAGGTGGGGCTTCACCAGGGACCTGCCCCTTTCCACCCAGGAGCCTGTCTGTCTCCTGCTGCCATCAATCATGTCAACCAGGGCAGCCAGGCTATTCCTGTGGAGGGGAATAGCCAACAGGCCTGCCCCAGCCACCCTCTGCCTTCCCCAACCCCAGGCCTCCCTCCCAAAGTTTCAGAGGGGGCTGAGGTGGCAGTGGGAGCTGGCATGTCTGCACAGCCCCGAGCATGCACACACTTGACTGGTCACAAGAGTGCCTCAGCTCGCCTTCAACCTTGCTCTGAAATGGGAGCAGGCACCGGGAGCAAGGAGAGGCCAGGCAGCAGGAGCAGGTGTCTTGGAGCCTGCAGGGGCAGGGTGGGCTTCCCAGGCTTCTGATAGCGCAGGGATGCCAGGGTCTACAGCCACTGCTGGGTGGCTGCAGGTGCTGTTCCTGGTTCCTGCAGGCTCCTCAGAGCACCCAGCTTTGGCTGCACCTCCCCCCCTGCAGCTGGATTCTTTGCAGGGGCAGTTCCAGACAGGCCATTGTGGACATCACTCACACCTCAGCCTCCTGAGTAGCTGCGACTTACAGGCACATGCCACTGCACCTGGCTAACTTTCAAAATTCTTTGTAGAGATGGGGTCTTGCTATGCTGTCCAGGCTGGTCATGAACTCCTGGTGTCAAGTGATCCTCCCACTTCAGCCTCCCAAAGTGCTCAGTTTATAGGTATGAGTCACAGTGCCCAGGCAAATTTATTCTTAAATTTGTTTGTAGCGATTGTAAATGGGATTATTTTCTTGATTCTTGGACAGTTCACTTAAGTGTATAGAAACGCTTCTGATTTTTGTATGTTGATTTTTTGTATCCTGCAACTTTACTGTACTTGTTTATTCTAATAGTTTTTTGGTAGAATCTGTAGGGTTTTTTATACATAAGATCATGTTATCAACAAACAGCAATAGTTTTACTACTTCTTTTCCTATCTGGATGCTTTTTCTTTCTTTCTCTTGCCTAACTGTGCTGGCTAGGACTTCCAGTACTATAATGAGAAAGAGAGGTAACAGTGGGTATGTTTGTCTTTTTCTGGTCCTTAGAGGGAAAGTTTTCAGCTTTTCCCATTCAGTATGATGTTAGCTGAATGTCATACATAGTCTTTATTGTGTTGAGTTCCTTCTATACCTAATTTGGTGACAGTTTTTTAACATGAAAGGATGTTGAATTTTGTCAAGTATTTTTTCTTCATCCGTATCAGATGATCATACGTCCTTCACTCTGTTAAGGCAATGTATCACATTTATTGATTTCTGTATTTTGAACTGTCCTTGCATCCCAGGGATAAATAACACTGGATCATGGTGGATGATATTTTTAATGCGTTGTTGCATTTGGTTTGCTAGTATTTTGTTGAGGATATTTGCATAATATATACATAAGGATACTGGCCTGTAATTTTCTTTTTTTAAATGTCCTTGTCTGGCTTTGGTATCAGAGTAATGCTAGCCTCATAAAAAGAGTTTGAAAGTATTATCTGCTCTTTGATTTTTTGGAAGAGTTTGAGAAGGACTGGTATTAGTTCTGCTTTAAATGTTTGACAGAATTTTGCCATAAGCCATCAGGTCCTGGGCTTTTCTTTGATGAGAGATTTTGATTACTAATTCAATCTCCTTACTTGTCATTGGTATTTTTAGATTTTCTGTTTCTTCATATTCAGTCTTCATAGGCTGCATATGTCTAGGCATTTATCCACTTCTAGGTAATCTAATTGGTTGGTGTAGAATTGTTCATAGTGGTCTCTTATGATCCATTCTGTTTCTGTAGAATCAGTTGTAATGTCTTCTCTTTCATTTCATTCCAATAAAATTTCATTCTAGTTTTAAAATAAGGCAATTCTTAGAGAAAGAAAATACGCTTTCTACTTCCCTGAGCTATTGGATTATATCAAATCATAAACTTTTAACAGTGATTGTTTTCATAGTATTAGTATTATGCAACTTTCTCGTAGCCTTCAAGATCCCAGTCATTCTGATCTGACAGGTGACTTTTAAAAAAATTCTAATTCACAAATATCATACATAGTTGAACAGAAACCAATCATAGCAAGAAGTTATAAAATAAAATAAAACCGCAAAGAATCCTTTATTTCAACAGAAATCAAACAGTCAATGAATTAAAAATGTTTTTAGCTTATATTTGCTGTTTAAAAGATTCCAAATTTCTTCAGTATAACCATAGCTCTAATCATGCAATCCACAGATTTGTTTTATCAACTGTTTTTATCACAGAGAATAATTTTAGCCTGAGCATACTTCAGCCATTACTTAGTACTAATTCAGACTATTAGTAGGTTTATTCCAGATTACTCTCTTAGTGGGCCTTAAATTACTTTTAAAATGATTTTAATGCAACTATTATCCTTTTGTCGCAAAGAAAAGAAGAATCCCGGGCCGGGCGCGGTGGCTCACGCCTGTAATCCCAGCACTTTGGGAAGCCGAGACGGGCAGATCACGAGGTCAGGAGATCGAGACCATCCTGGCTAAAACGGTGAAACCCCGTCTCTACTAAAAATACAAAAAATTAGCCAGGTGTGTTGGTGGGCGCCTGTAGTCCCAGCTACTCAGGAGGCTGAGGCGGGAGAATGGCGTGAACCCGGGAGGCGGAGCTTGCAGTGAGCCGAGATCGCGCCACTGCACTCCAGCCTGGGCTACAGAGCGAGACTCCGTCTCAAAAAAAAAAAAAAAGAAGAATCCCTTATTGGGTATGACCAGGTCACTTTCAGGAACAAAGAACCAAAGGAAATTCTAAATCCTGTCCACCGAATTAAGCTTTGTGTTTACCCCTCTTGCAACTTGCCCAGACAATATGGCTTCAGTAGGATGTGAGCTCACTGAAAAAAAGTACAAAGAATCTAAAGATCTCTGTGAAAGTTCGTAATAACCAGGCTATTCAGAGTATTAACAGTAAGTGAAATATTTTCATTAGAGATTAAAAAAGAAGCACTCTTTTTTTCCTCACAAGCATTTTCTAAAAATGTCTATCAGATCTGCTAAGGGTATCTCTCCAGCTGGAATAAATAAGCAATCTGGTTCTGAGAGCCCACCTTTATTATATCCATTACTTGGGGAAGACCAGTGAGTGATTTTTGTGTAACTTGTATGCAAACACCTTGAGAGATTTTTCTGAGAGGAAGAAGTATAATATTTTATCAAATATAGTTCCAAGAACATGTACCTTATCAATGTATTGGGCTTGTTGACGTTAATGATCTAATAAGGCTGGGACTCAGTGAATGAGCTGGCAGCTCATCCATTACTCTTAATTCTATATAGTTTCTCCCTGACTTCAAAAATAGAGTTCTTGAAAATCTCTGGATCAAGAATTCAAGGTTGAGAAAATTAATATATTGTGAAGAAAAACAGAATTAGGTGATTAAGATCAAGTGAACATGAAAGTCTATGTCAATAGGCCTACAGTCACTAAAACAAAATTTTTAGAAGGATAGCAAACTAAAGATATGATCAATGACAATTCATATATTTTAACTTTAGGGGTAATTTCCATTTATTTTTCCATTCTTGCTAGTACCTTTCAAGAACTTCCTCTGCGCAGTGTTATAGAAATGCTTATGAAGCTACTTTACTTTTGGAATATATATATATATATTATACGTATATATATCCTATATATACACGTGTATATATATGTATATATATCCTATATATATATTTGGAATATAATTTTACTGTCTGCTTCCATCCAAATATTGGCACCTTTAGAAGTTTATGACTAGTATGTTTATGCTATCTTCTCTTTATATCTTCTCAGGTTCTGTTTCTTGCTGCACTGAGTCCTTAGAGATATCTCTGACACACTTCTTTTTTATTTTTATTTTTTAATTTGAGACAGGGTCTCGCTCTGGCACCCAGGCTGGAGTGTAATAGCGCAATCATGGCTCACCACAGCCTTGACCTCTTGGGCTCAAATGATCTTCCATCTAAGCCTCCCAAGTAGCTTGGACTCCAGGTGTGTACCACCATGTCCAGCTATTACACATCTCTAGTAGTATATCCCTCCTCACTGGTTCCAATGGAGTGCAGTTTGAAATCCCAGGTTTACTTTCCCACTTTATCATTTTCATGACTTTCTTAAAAAATCACTACCACTGACATCATCTTCATTTACTTTTCTCAAATATCATATTCCTCTTTTTCTCATTATGACTACCAACGGGAATTGCCTACATTTCCAGAATGCCAGAAATTATTTTTCAGTGCTAGAAAGTTCTATAGTGGAGAAAAAAGAAGGGAAGGGAAGAAATGCAACAGTGACAACTACTGCTGATTTCACTGTTCAGGTTCATCCTAAAAATATGGATGAAATTACTGGATAAGAGACAGGGCTATTGAAGAAGGAATTTAACCAGAGGTTATATTTAAATTCCTTCTGAATCATGGTAGCCTTGAAGGTCTCTTCCAACTCCATGGTTTGATGAATGGATAATTCATCAAATTAGATGAATAGAACTAGAACTTGTAGGAGCAAACAAGAAAAAAATACTTTCACAAATTAAACACCAAAGTTGTACTGCCCCCTTTCGGATTCAGCCAAAAGAAACCAATAAGTACTTAACAGGGTATCATGATTTTTTTAAAAGGTCTAAAGCAATATGGTAAAATATAGGCATTAGTTTTACCAGTCAGCAGTCTATTACTTAACATATTTAACTAGCCCCAAAGTGAAAACAAACAAAATATAATAAAGTGGTGGTGGGCCACCATTACAAACAAAATAAACCAAGCAAACAAACAAATCACCAAATAAAAAATAGCAAAAGATGTGGGATTTGGCTCAAAAAAAAAATGATGTTCCTGTTGATGATAAAGTAGAAAATGGGTCCCTGATTCTGAAGTGGGAAGAGGACAGAGGGATGAGCTGTTGTCTTTATCAACAAAAATTAGGAGATCCTAAAGGACATCACATATTTTCCAGTATTTTAATGGAGCAATGATAACATTTTTGGGTACTGGACATACAAGACACTACCATTCCAAGAAAAACACTATTATAAAGATAAATTTCATTAAGCTATCATAAATCTACTTCAATGTTTTTAAAAAAATCTAGAATGCAGACCACAATCCTTTATTTACATGGTAGTAGCAAAGAAATGAATAGGTCTAACAGTGACTCCACTGTGTTCAACAGAACAAATCACTAGGTTGTTGTAGGAGCTAAAGCAGAAAAAACTGAATCAGAACTTACAGTCTTCTTAGAAGACATTCTCTGTATAAAAACAGAAGGAAATCATGTAAGTTTAAACAACAAGATATGGTAGACTAATGAATCAGTATTTGATAATTAAGGCTAATTTGAAGGGAACTAGAGGGAAGATATATTTGAATTAATTTATAGAAAAAGATTTTTAATAAATACCATTTTAATCGGCATAAAGACTAAAAATTCTTTTCCTGTAGATATGTTTTAAAGGAGCAGCTTCAAAATGCAGCTATAGAGGATTAAAATTAGCATATAAACTGCTTATATGCAAAGATCAAATTTGTTATAAGACTTTATATAAACAAGCTCTGTCCAGTATTTATGACATTAACAATGTAAAGCATAATCTTTTAGATGATGCATACTTCAGCCTATGTGACTTTAAAAATTATCAAAAAAACAGAAACAAAACCCCCAATTAAAGAATCCTCATTAATAAATCCTCAAGGGAAAACACTTCAGCCAGCATAATTGACAAAAAAAAATGCAATTAGTAGTTACATATTAGGAACATATTAAGAAGTTATAAAAGAAAGAAATACAGAAGAAAACAAAACAAAATGAAAATTTCTGACATAACCACAACAAATTCCAATAGGCACAAATAATTCCAACAATTTCCAGTAGGCACACACACACACAGAAAACATAGCAGGGAGAGGTGTTAGAACTCTGTGCAAGGAGGTGGAGAAGTACCCTCATGTGAAAATACTTAAAGAATTAAATGAGAGGCAGAGAAAACGCAAATACACAGAAGAACAGCAGTATCCTATCATCCTCAGTGATGTAGGAAAAGGAGGTTAGTTAATGTGACTAGAGCATCAAAACAGCCAGCACTTGGGAGAAACACTAGGCTCTGAGTTTCTGCAGATTTTTGGTGCAGGCACTCATAACAGTAAAAGAAACCATTTTATGTAAGGAATTCTGTAAGCCAGCAGTAATGCCTGATTTTTATCATGTCTAGAAACAGCTATCTTTTACCAGATGAGAATAATATTTCAAATCCTACCCAGAGCAGCACAATATTATGCCAATCTGACAAATAATGAAGAGTTTAGATAGGGAAAATAACACACTGACATGAAAATAAAACCCTCATAAGCAAAAAAAGATGTCTGGATTACATAAATTATGTACAGGAGTAAATAAAGATGGGGCCATTACTGACTTTGCAATAACTCGCAAATCAAAAAATAAAACCTGAATGAGCAAGTGCAACCATAAAGAGCTTCTGAGTCATTCTTGTTTATTAGATTTTTTTCTTACATTTAGAGAATTGTCCTGTCAAGTTTTTTAAGATGTACAAAAAATAAATGGAATATAATTTTAGATTTCACAGGTGACAATACAAAAGCCATAAAATAAAATGTGAAGTATGTTAAATATTTCCAGAAACTTGCTGAATCTTCTCTGTTTATAATGAACTGAAATCACTATGCAGAAAAATAACTATTCAAATGTTTAAACCAAAATATTATCAGACAATTTGCTCCATATGAGTGATTTAAGGCTTAACACTGCCTCTCACACATAGTCTCAAATACTACTTAAAACTAATCAAATATTAAATGTTCCCTATGTTGCTGGACTTCATAATGCTATGATTTTCTCATGATTTTATAGCACTGAGAATAGAGCTGTAGATATTGTTGCAGATATAGACATAGATATTTATAATAAAATATGCCCTATATAAAAATATGTTACATAAAAACTTAAATTGGCACAGAAGACTGCAAATCAATACATGTAAATTAATCTTAGTACGATGGGTTCACTTTCCAGAAAAATCAAATATAAAATATATAAAAAACCTGTTCATTGGCTAGTTGCAACAGAGAACAACTAACCATTAGTAACTGAAACAAAAATTAAATATTCACTTCAGAAACAGAGAAAATAATAAAAAGATTACCTCAAAGTACTCAATATTTTTGGCAATATATGCTTCTATATTGGGTTAAATTGGAGAAATTGTCCTTTTTATTGGTAAAAAGGTCAAATATTGGTAATTTCATGTGGTTCAGGCTAAAAGCATTAGAGTTAACATATTTAATTCATTTCATTCTATGTAATATTACAATCTAAATGAAGAAAAATATATTCACTGTCTAACATCTGTAATTCAAATAATTTTTCTACCACATAAAAAAGATAAAAGAGGAACAAATACAATCAGTGATCTGTGTTGCTTCCAAACTACGAAATAAAGAGATTGGATCTTTTAGCAAATTTGAGCACATAATATGTAGATTGTTAGGTAAAAATGATCGTTGTTTTATTCTTCTTTGATGATAAAGAATATGTAACAAGAGGAAAGTTATAACTGAGAACAAATTCACATTTGGAAAACAAGTAAACAATAAACTCCTTCATGATATTTATAATAGATTGAGAAATATTTTGGACAGAATACATTAACATGTAAGCTTCTTCCTCTAAATTACCACAAGTTCATAAAGTTTTTAAAAAATGGCTGAAAATAATAAAGGCAAGAAGGCCCTCACTACATGTTGGCTGCTCAGTCTTGGACTTCCTAGCCTTCAGAACTGTAAGAAATAATTATCTTTTCTTATCATTTACCCAGTCTCAGGTATTCTTGTTATGGCAACAGGAAATGAACTGAAACAATCAGTGATTAATCAATCAATGTAAGTGAAACAGGACCAAATATTTATGTACTTATAGTTTAGCAAGAATTACAAGGAAGAAATTCTCAATTATGCCTGGTCCTAAAAACGTCTTGTAGAAAAAAACATGAAAACAAAAATTAATATGGTCTTTAAATTTTTTCTTATACTTAATTATAACACTAGTTATATCAAAATTTTTATATGGCTAATGTTTGGTCAGAAAGAACAGTGTGGCTGTACTAGTTGCTAAAATACTAAATAATATAATACTTAAATACTGGTTGGAAAATGGGCACTGCTCCAAGCTCTCCAAATGTCCCCTTCTCTATGGACCCTACCCCCACCAAGACACCTCCATATACCCTAAGGTTAACACCTGGTGCAACAGGGATCCTCTAGTATTCTGGCATCCACTATAATGCCAGAATGGTTGGTGCCTGTAGCATAACAGTTGTTACATGTATCAAACCTCTCCCCTGTTAATAACAGAAGATAGTAGCAGAAGCTTTGAGCTTGGAGTTATAGAGGCTACATTACAACAGCTACTATCTGCATAAATCACTGGACCCTTCTAAAGTTCCAACTTCCTCCTTTTAAATGAAGTTCTTACTAGCTACCTAGTAGGACTGTTTGTGGATTACATGCAATGACATGAAAGTGCTGATTAGCACACAGTAGGCATATCATTCACTTTGCCTTACTAGAAAAATAGTAAACACTACATGAAAAAATTAGTAAAAGATGTAGTATTTTACAAACAAGTTGTGTTTCAAACACTCATTTTTGAAGTCAGTAGTCTGGTAATTAGAATGCATTTTCCCCATACTAATCATTATATAAAAGTGGTTACATATGTCAACCACTTTTTATCTCAGTTTTTATCTCAACTCAACTTTATAAAGTCTAATTTTACCCATAATACATTGTTTTCTACATGAAAAAAATGAACATTTATTGAACATTCATACATACCAAGCGCTATTCTAAATACTGTACATTTAAGTTATTTAATTCTCGGCTGGGCATGGTGGCTCACGCCTGTAAATCCCAGCACTTTGGGAGGCTGAGGCAGACAGATCACCTGAGCTTGGGAGTTCCAGACCAGCCTGACCAACATGGAGAAACCCCATCTGTACTACAAATACAAAATTAGCCAGGCGTGGTGTCACATGCCTGTAATCCCAGCTACTTGCTAGGCTGAGGTAGGATTGTCGCTTGAACCTGGGAGGTTGCAGTGAGCCAAGATCACGCCATTGAACTCCAGCCTGGGCAACAAGAGCGAAACTCCGTCTTGAAAAAAAAAAAGTTATTTAATTCTCAAAGCAACTTTATGGATAGTATGCTCTGATCATCCGCAAATTAACCGATGGAAATCAAAGCTAAGAGAAGAAGTAAAGTGCTTTGGGTCACTTAGCAAGAAAGTGGCAGAGCCAGGATTGGACCCAGGAATGGGCCTAAAGTCCAGGCTTAGGCTCCAAGACCTATGATCCTATTCATTACACTATAATGTCTTTGGAGTTATTTGAATTATAAAAGAACATTTTTTAAAAACCAAAACATTTAGAAAAAATATGTGGCAGTTTCTCAACTTGTGATATAAACAAAACTGGTCAAATTAAGCAAAAGAACAAGAAAAGTATACTGAATTATCTTAACATGCTGGTGGTTTGAGGAAAAGCAGGCTGAGACAGATAAGATGGGTGGAGACATAAAGTGGATTGTCTTAATACTTTCATTTGAGCATTTTATTACAACTTACTTTTAGTATCAAGGTGGCTGTTAAGTATTTTATTAGTTTATTTGGTACATTAAGTTCTCTGAATATTAGTTTTTACTGTCTTAGGATCTTATTTATTTGCCATTTTTTATTGTTTTCAATTCTTTAGCATTTTAGGTGCCCCTAAACATTAATATTTGAGCATTTTAGAGGTATTAAGGTTCATTTTAGTTTAGACTATAGATCTCCATAAACTTTTTGTTAGAATTATATTCTTTTTTGTTTGTTAGAATGTATTTTTCCTAAGACTTTATTACTTATATTGATTTTACTAAAAGTTGTGTTTAGAATGCTAATAAGTGACCATGTAACACCCTTTTACTCACACACTATTGCTAATTTTTACTAGTATTTGATAGCCAGTAATTTTAACAATTTTGTGTCACAAAAAAAGAAAAGAGATGTCATCCTAAATATTTTAAATCTCAAATAAATTCAAACAGATCACCCTTACAGCAATTTAGAAAAATTGTCAATTTTTTCTAAACAATTTATCATGACAGTGTAAAATAAATTAACATCAGCCTAAATGTGAATAATTCTAATCGTTGGGTTAATTAGGTAGTTGTCTTAGTTGGAGTTCCTCCAGAAGCTGACTCTGAGACAATGAATGAGTGAAGATAAGTTATTTGGGAGGGTCTCAGTAAATGGACAGGGGGGTGGGGAACATGATAACAGAAGGGAAGGCAGCTAATATATTAAGATAGCAATCACAGGCGCCAACTGAAGCTTAATCCTGTAGAGGAAACTCTTGACAAATAGTGTAGGCACATGCCTTAGAATTGGCTAAGTAAGGGCCAAAGAAGTTAGTGTATTTATATGCTGAAACCTGCCAATCACTGCTTAAGGTCTTCCCCTAGTGGCTTCTACTAGCTCAAAGGCAGTCTTACAGCTTAGGTGGAGGAGCTGGCCTTTGGAAGGCAGGTGTGCACAAAATGGCAAGGGATTTCAAACCATATGAGCAGACCACTCACATCACTTATTACATTAGCAAAACCATTAAACATCCATAATTACCACAGTGATAGTTCTGACAAAGTAAATTTAGCCCTAAATGTTGGCGAAATTTTGGCAAACTAGCTGAAAATACACTAACAATAGCTAAGTATTGTTACAGTAATGTAGTTTGTAAGTTCTCAATTCAAAATGCTAACAAAATAAGAGCCTGGTATCAGGATACTAGAAGACATAGAAAAATTCAAAGAATAATAATATCAGTCTATGCTCTGACTCTTTCAAGAAATAATCCTTACAGTTCCTGGTATGATCCAAATTATAGCAAGAACAAACATCCACCAGAACAAGAGTCAAGGATGTGAAACATTGTCCCAAATAATCAGCCTGTCTGTTCCCCTAGTAAACGGCTACACTCCTACTGCAACGTGAAGGAAGATACTATTAAGAAAAAAAAAGTATGGATTAAAGTCATTTGGAGGATCCACAAATACTTTCTCTGTGTGGACAACACTTCCTCAATCTAAGTAAGATTTTTCTTATTAAGCTTCAAATTTTTCCTTAGCTTTAAAGTCTTTCTTGGTCCCTATTCATAGTCCTCAGCATAAAGATGCTGACCAGGAGGGCTCAGATCCAGATCCCAGCATCCCCATAATGCCAGAGCTTCTTTGGTCAATGAGATGCTAAGTCCAATGGGTTATTTCTGGATCTTCACTTTGCTCAATGTCCCACTCTGGATTAGAGCTCACAGCTGAATGGATGGCTAAAACAGACTGGATGGTTAAGCCTAAGATAGGGGTGTTTGTGGTCACATATTGCCCACTGATGTGGGTTTATTAAAGAGTAGTAATTTCTTGAAAGCTAAATGTATCAGTGAAAAAGTTAAGTGTATGTAAACTATATATCGGTACCAGGACCAATATTTGTAGCTGTGAAACTGACTCATGGTTGTGATTTACTTTTTGCAGAGAGTACACAGAAGAAAAGGTAGAAGGCAGTATGTGCAAGAAAATGAGTCTTCTCCCATAATTCAATATAATAATATTTTGAACTCCTACTACGTGCAAAGCAAGTTTAGGTACTCTTGGGTGTTTTAAGAACACAGAGTTGAGGATATCAAATACACACAAATCACTATAAAAGTAGAGGTACAAATAAAATGCCATGCAAGCTAAAAGGAGGGAAGGATTATTAACTCCTTTGTAATTCTTAAAGAACTGATATAAGGCAAATTAAAATTCGGTGGACTAAGATTTAAAAATCAAATACTAAGGGGCTAAGATGCAAGTTCATCCCTAATTATAATTTTCAGTGAAAAAACATATAAATCTCTTCTGCTTATCCTTCTCAAAGGTATCTCCTACAGTATATCCTATCCCTTGAAATGATCCTACTCAACAGTTTCCCTCATATTTCACATGACCACTCAAAATGCCATCACCTCTAGGAAGCTTTCTCACCTGATTCCAAAAGCTATGATTGTTCTTTATAGCACATAATGGCCACACTACTCATTGTTTATTGTAATATCCAGGTACATTTCCACATTTTCATAACTACCTTATATACCACACCAAAATAATCTGTGATGCACCTTTTTTTTTGAGATGGAGTATTGATCTGACACCCAGGCTGGAGTGCAGTGGTGCTATCTCACTCACTGCAACCTCCACCTCCTGGGTTCAAGTGATTCTCCTGCCTAAGCCTCCCAAGTAGCTGGAATTACAGGCACCCGCCACCATGCCTGGCTAATTTTTATATTTTTAGTAGAGACGGGGTTTCATCATGTTGGCCAGGCTGGTCTCAAACTCCTGACCTTGTGATCTGCCCGCCTCGGCCTCCCAAAGTGCTGGGATTACAGGCGTGAGCCACCGCACCCGGCCTCTGTGGAGCAGATTTCCATAGCTGGGTTTGGGTTCTATATGTCTAGAAAACCCCACAGGTGTTTCTGATGTGCAGCCAGGGTTGAGAGCCAGTGTGCATCACACACTTTCAGAACACAGACAAATTTTACATAGCACATAGATTTCTTCTTGAGTGCCAATTTTGATTGCTGCCTGAAACACCATGTTAAGAAGGGTACTAAAGCCAGTGCAAGTTCAGACTGCCTGGATCCAAATCTTGGTTTTGGTACCAATTACCTGTCTGACTTTGTACTTCAGCTTTCTTTTATGAAAACAGAGATAATGCTCATATTTACTAGAGTTGTTGAGGGGATTGAAAGGGTTAGTACCTGCAAAGGGAAAGCTTAACTAAATATTAGGAATTGTCACGGAAGAGGCATTATGAGTTTTGAGTTATTTGCCAATTCAGACCTGAGAAACACTCTTGGGGGTTGAGTCTTAATGAGTATAATGCTATACCTATGAGAAAAAGCATTACATATATATACTTCTAATTGAGAAATATAGTTAGGGTAGGGTGTGGTGACTCACGCCTGTAAACCCAGCACTTTGGGAGTCCAAGGCAGGTGGATCGCTTGAGCTCAGGAGCTCAAGACCAGGCTGGGAAACATGGTGAAACCCTATCTCTACAAAAATTACAAAAAAATTAGCTGGGCATGAGGCTGAGGCTGGAGGATCCCTTGAGCCTGGGAGGTGGAGGTTGTAGTGAGCCAATCGTACCACTGCACTCCAGCCTGGGAGACAGAGTGAAACCTTGTCTCAAAACAATAACAACAACAACAACAACAACAAAACAAGTATAATTAGAAGACAACTTATCTGCAAAATGAGGACTGTTTGTATTTGAGGCTTTGTGCTGTCATGTCCAGTGTGGCATAGAGGAATAACAGCTATGTGGTACATGAGAACAAGCACGGATTTGGAAACAGAATAAGAGTGTTTGAGTCTTGATTAACTAACTACCTGTGTAACCCAGAGAAAGTCAATGGCCCTTTTTGTTTCTCCATCTGTAAAGTAGGTAGAAAAGCAGTTTTTTACTTTACCGTGTTTTTATAAAGATTACAGGAAATAATGGGGCCGGGCACGGTGGTTCACGCCTGTAATCCCAGCACTTTGGGAGGCCAAGGCGGGCAGATCACAAGGTCAGGAGATCGAGACCATCCTGGCTAACACGATGAAACCCCGTCTCTACTAAAAATACCAAAAAAAATTAGCCAGGCATGGTGGCGGGCGCCTGTAGCGCCAGGTACTCTGGAGGCTGAGGCAGGAGAATGACTTGAACCCGGGAGGCGGAGCTTGCAGTGAGCTGAGATTGCGCCACTGCACTCCAGCCTGGCAGACACAGCGAGACTCCGTCTCAAAAATAAATAAATAAAACAAACAAACAAACAAAAATTACAGGAAATAATGGATGTGAACATATCTAGTATATGGTCAGACACATGGTAAATATTCAATATCTTTGATGCTCTAAGCTAGTCCTCCAAATCATACTTAATCCATTTATAGTTAAATGACAGTATAAACGGCCAAGTATAACCTCCCAAGTTGGTATACTAGTAACGTTTTCTCTTGTCCTGGCTCTTCGTACCACGAAGGTTTAGGCTCTGGGTATAATGAGTAGACCATTGACAAAATCAGAGTCCCAAATGGCCAAAAGTCTTAAAGAAGCAAGAGACTTAAAGAAAAACCTGCCATTTAAACCTCTGAGACAAGGGCTTCATGTGCTTAAAGGCGTTCAAGTAATACTTATAATTTTCTTTAGGTCTTTTGCTGTGTATGCTTGTTTTGCATAACTGTCTAATTGCATACTTTTATATTCAACATTTTTCATGACATTTTCTCTTGAGCACTTCCCCATATCATTAAAAATCCCTTAAAATATTATTTTCAATGGTTGCACAGTATTCTAGCATATGATGGATCATATATAATCACTATTCTATTAAACATTTATTTTATTTTTAAATTTTTATTATTGTAAATAATGCTGAAATTAACATTCTAATTAATGCTAGCATATTATTTTGTTAGGATAATTATTAAAAAATAATTTGAGATGAAATTCATATAATGTAAAATTAACCATTTTAAAGTGCACAATTCAATGACATTTAATACATTCGCAATATTGTGTAACCACCACCTCTATCTAGTTCTAAAACATTTCCATCGTGATGAATATTTTTGAGATATTAATGAGTATGAACATTTTAAATGTTTTCAATATATATTGTTAAACTGTCCTCTGGAATAAAAAAGTTAATCCAATTTACACTTTCACCAGTGGCACCTGAGAGAGCCCATTTCATAGCACACTTACTTCTATGTGTATTATTAGTATCAAAAAAATAAAAAATCTTTGATAGTGAGAAAGGTTTAATATATCCTAGTTCTTCAATTTCAGTGATTACTGGCAAGGCTTTACCTTTTAAAAATATTTACTTGCTATCTAAGTTTCTTCTTTTCAGAACTGCCCCCAGTGATGAGATAATTCTGAGATGTTATCTATGAGGCATTTGTAGTAGTTTTTATGGCGGATGCTTTGCAGGCTGCTATGTAAGGAATACCTGAGCTTGGGCTGGATGAGAGACACTGCTCAAGGTCTCTGAAGTGCCTAGAAGGTAGTTTCATGCTTTTAGGACTTAAGTACTCACTTTGGAGAAGACAACCTATTGTCTATGATAAAATACCATGCTTTTAAAAAAACAATAACCAGAAATTGAAAATTTAAAGCATTATTATAGTAAAACACATGGACACAGGGAGGGAAACATCACACACTGGGGCCTGTTTGGGGGTGGGGGGCTAGGGGAGGGAGAGCATTAGGAGAAATACCTAATGTAGATGACAGGTGGATGGGTGCAGCAAACCACCAGGGCACATGTATACCTATGTAACAAACCTGCACATTCTGCACATGTATCCCAGAACTTAAAGTATAATAATAATAAAAAAAGAAATAAAAAAGTAAAACAAAAATGAACAGATGTTTTGATTCAAATAATAACTTACAAAATTATTTAAATATTTAATGGTGACCATATTGCTATGTGACTGAAAGTAAAGAATTTTAAAAATCGTATAAACTATAATAATGTACCAAGTGTGATAGGGACAAGCACTTATGAAGTATCTTTCTATGTGCCAGGAACTGTGCTAGCTATGGAAGAGGAGCAGTCAATAGGCAGATAAGCTTTCTGTTCTCATGAAAATTATATTATAATAAGGTTGGCTATCATTCAATAAATAACAAGTGTGCTGAGCACTATCACAGTCTTGTGATTTAAATGACCTATAAGTTTATGTTATTTCCTATAAATAATTATCATTAGTTTTTGGTCAAAATTAACCAAGCCTTCTATTAGAGTAACTAAATTCACTATTTATTAACTTTGGCTAAGTGAAAGGCGCTATGCTAAAATATGCACAGACAAAAAATAAAAACTAAAAAAATCCACAGACTCTCAAAGAGCTCACACTAGTGGAGAAGTTAAACATGTAAACAGGTTTTGTAGATTATGATAACTGCAAGAAAAGATCATACAGAAGTGTTGGTATCACAGAAGAGGACATGATTAACTCTATTTGAATTTTCAGGAAAAGATTCTTACAGAAGATGATATCTGAGATTAATTTTGAAGGACAAATATGAATTCATGAGGTTGGCGGGACGAAAGAGCACTCTTAGAATCTGTTGTGGCCTGGAGACTTGAGATGTTTCTTCTGGGGAGTAGTTATAAGCAGTTCTTTCCTGTTAGTGTACAAACAGACAAGTGGGGCCTGTGGGAGCTGATGTTGAAGAGGCAAAAGCCAGATTAAAGCACCTCAGGTGCTATGTTATACAGTTTAAATTTAATCTAAAGTCAGCAGGGAATCATTGGTCGGTTTTAATTCTGGGAGATAAATTATTGTATGATTGTTTAAAATTATCGTTTTGGTCAACCAAATCATTTAATCAACCAAATACTTTAATAGGGCCTAAAGATATCATGTATGATCTGGCTCTTTTGTACCTGTCCGGGATGATTTTGAGCCACTTTCCCCTATGCTGTATCTGGTAACAGTAAACTGCTTTCATTTCCATTTTCTGGGCATTTGTACAAGTGGTCCCTTCGTTTGGACAGTGTTTCTTTTCTCTCTGAAGGTATAACTCCCTCTTATCTTTCAGATAGTAACAGGAGTATAGCTTACTCTGGAGAGTTCGCACTCATAAATCAGAGCTACCAGCCTCCCATGTGCTACTAAGAGTGCTTGCCCTCAAAGTGCTTATTACACTGCTCTATGTCATTAACAGTCTCTATAAACCAGTTACTATGAGTTTTCTAAGGGCAATGATCATTTCAAGTTTAATAACCATTATATCCACAATATCTAGCACAGGACCTAGAACACAGAAGGTATTCAATAAATCTCTTGTGAATGAGTGTTGAATACGGCATGTGAGCCTGGCAGCAGACCAGCTGGGTGACCATGATAAAAGCCCAAATGAAGGCAAAAGTATCAAGGATGAAGAAGAGCATAGGCAGAAGAGTAACATAGGAGTTGGAATCAATAAAATGTGATAACTTACAAGATGTGGAGGACAAAGGACAAAGAGAAGAATGATATAAATTACTTAATCTCTGAAGGACAGTTCCCAATTTTTAAGAAAACAGGAATTCAGGACCAAGACAATCATGTTTCCCATTACCTGTCTGAGCTCTCTCCTATCGCTGAAGCCAGGCACAATGGCTACCTCATCATTTTCCCAAAATGCCAGGTACACTCCTGCCTCACACTGAGCAGCTGCTGTTTCCTCATCCTGTAACAGTCTTCCCCCAGGTACCCACGTGACTTGATCTATCACCTCCTCAGATCTTTGCTTAAATGGTAACTTTTCAGTGATGACTTCCCTAAGCATCCTACTTAGAACTGCAACTTTTATCCTCATCTTGGCTCTCCTTAGCAATCTTTCCCGCTCATTTTTCTCCAAAGAATTTGTCAATATCAGACACACAACATATTTTAATTATTTGCTTTGTCTCTTTCACTAGAAATATACCTTTCTGGAGAGGTAAATATTTGTTTGTTTCTTTATATCACTATTGCACCTTCAGGGCCTATAGAACCTCATAAGAACTCAATAAATATTTATTTAGGGAGGAGCCAAGATGGCCGAATAGGAATAGCTCCTGTCTACAGCTCCCAGCGTGAGCGACGCAGAAGATGGGTGATTTCTGCATTTCCATCTGAGGTACTGGGTTCATCTCACTAGGGAGTGCCAGACAGTGGGCGCAGGTCAGTGGGTGTGTGCACCGTGCGCGAGCCGAAGCAGGGCAAGGCATTGCCTCACTTGGGAAGCGCAAGGGGTCAGGGAGTTCCCTTTCCCAGTCAAAGAAAGGGGTGACGGACACACCTGGAAAATCGGGTCACTCCCACCCGATTACTGCGCTTTTCCGACCAGCTTAAAAAAAGGCACACCATGAGATTATATCCCGCACCTGGCTCAGAGGGTCCTAAGCCCAGGGAGTCTCGCTGATTGATAGCACAGCAGCCTGAGATCAAATTGCAAGGCGGCAGCCAGGCTGGGGGAGGGGCGCCCACCATTGCCCAGGCTTGCTTAGGTAAACAAAGCAGCCAGGATGCTCGAACTGGGTGGAGCCCACCACAGCTCAAGGAGGCCTGCCTGCCTCTGTAGGCTCCACCTCTGGGGGCAGGGCACAGACAAACAAAAAGACAGCAGTAACCTCTGCAGACTTAAATGTCCCTGTCTGACAGCTTTGAAGAGAGCAGTGGTTCTCCCAGCACACAGCTGGAGATCTGAGAACGGGCAGACTGCCTCCTCAAGTGGGTCACTGACCCCCGAGCAGCCTAACTGGGAGGCACCCCCCAGCAGGGGCAGACTGACACCTCACACGGCAGGGTACTCCAACAGACCTGCAGCTGAGGGTCCTGTCTGTTAGAAGGAAAACTAACAAACAGAAAGGACATCCACACCAAAACCCATCTGTACATCACCATCATCAAAGACCAAAAGTAGATAAAACCACAAAGATGGGGAAAAAACAGAACAGAAAAACTGGAAACTCTAAAACGCAGAGCGCCTCTCCTCCTCCAAAGGAACGCAGTTCCTCACCAGCAACGGAACAAAGCTGGATGGAGAATGACTTTGACGAGCTGAGAGAAGAAGGCTTCAGACGATCAAATTACTCTGAGCTACGGGAGGACATTCAAACCAAAGGCAAAGAAGTTGAAAACTTTGAAAAAAATTTAGAAGAATGTATAACTAGAATAACCAATACAGAGAAGTGCTTAAAGGAGCTGATGGAGCTGAAAACCAAGGCTCGAGAACTACGGGAAGAATGCAGAAGCCTCAGGAGCTGATGCGATCAACTGGAAGAAAGGGTATCAGTGATGGAAGATGAAATGAATGAAATGAAGCGAGAAGGGAAGTTTAGAGAAAAAAGAATAAAAAGAAATGAGCAAAGCCTCCAAGAAATATGGGACTATGTGAAAAGACCAAATCTACGTCTGATTGGTGTACCTGAAAGTGATGTGGAGAATGGAACCAAGTTGGAAAACACTCTGCAGGATATTATCCAGGAGAACTTCCCCAATCTAGCAAGGCAGGCCAACGTTCAGATTCAGGAAATACAGAGAACGCCACAAAGATACTCCTCGAGAAGAGCAACTCCAAGACACATAATTGTCAGATTCACCAAAGTTGAAATGAAGGAAAAAATGTTAAGGGCAGCCAGAGAGAAAGGTCAGTTTTCCCTCAAAGGGAAGCCCATCAGACTAACAGTGGATCTCTCAGCAGAAACCCTACAAGCCAGAAGAGAGTGGGGGCCAATATTCAACATTCTTAAAGAAAAGAATTTTCAACCCAGAATTTCATAGCCAGCCAAACTAAGCTTCATAAGTGAAGGAGAAATAAAATACTTTACAGACAAGCAAATGCTGAGAGATTTTGTCACCACCAGGCCTGCCCTAAAAGAGCTCCTGAAGGAAGCGCTAAACATGGAAAGGAATAATCGGTACCAGCCGCTGCAAAATCATGCCAAAATGTAAAGACCATCGAGACTAGGAAGAAACTGCATCAACTAACCAGCAAAATAACCAGCTAACATCATAATGACAGGATCAAATTCACACATAACAATATTAACTTTAAATGTAAATGGACTAAATGCTCCAATTAAAAGACAGAGACTGGCAAATTGGATAAAGAGTCAAGACCCATCAGTGTGCTGTATTCAGTAAACCCATCTCACGTGCAGAGACACACATATGCTCAAAATAAAAGGATGGAGGAAGATCTACCAAGCAAATGGAAAACAAAAAAAGGCAGGGGTTGCAATCCTAGTCTCTGATAAAACAGACTTTAAACCAACAAAGATCAAAAGAGACAAAGAAGGCCATTACATAATGGTAAAGGGATCAATTCAACAAGAAGAGCTAACTATCCTAAATATATATGCAACGAATACAGGAGCATCCAGATTCATAAAGCAAGTCCTGAGTGACCTACAAAGAGACTTAGACTCCCACACATTAATAATGGGAGACTTTAACACCCCACTGTCAACATTAGACAGATCAACGAGACAGAAAGTCAACAAGGATACCCAGGAATTGAACTCAGCTCTGCAGCAAGCGGACCTAATAGACATCTACAGAACTCTCCACCCCAAATCAACAGAATATACACTTTTTTCAGCACCGCACCACACCTATTCCAAATTGACCACAAACTTGGAAGTAAAGCTCTCCTCAGCAAATGTAAAAGAACAGAGATTATAACAAACTATCTCTCAGACCACAGTGCAATCAAACTAGAACTCAGGATTAAGAATCTCACTCAAAACCACTCAACTACATGGAAGCTGAACAACCTGCTCCTGAATGACTACTGGGTACATAACGAGATGAAGGCAGAAATAAAGATGTTTTTGAAACCAACGAGAACAAAGACACAACATACCAGAATCTCTGGGATGCATTCAAAGCAGTGTGTAGAGGGAAATTTATAGCACTAAATGCCCACAAGAGAAAGCAGGAAAGATCCAAAATTGACACCCTAACATCACAATTAAAAGAACTAGAAAAGCAAGAGCAAACACATTCAAAAGCTAGCAGAAGGCAAGAAATAACTAAAATCAGAGCAGAACTGAAGGAAAGAGAGACACAAAAAACCCTTCAAAAATTAATGAATCCAGGAGCTGGTTTTTTGAAAGGATCAACAAAATTGATAGACCGCTAGCAAGACGAATAAAGAAAGAAAGAGAGAAGAATCAAATAGACGCAATAAAAAATGATAAAGGGGATATCACCACCGATCCCACAGAAATACAAACTACCATCAGAGAATACTACAAACACCTCTACACAAATCAACTAGAAAATCTAGAAGAAATGGATAAATTCCTCAACACATACACTCTCCCAAGACTAAACCAGGAAGAAGTTGAATCTCTGAATAGACCAATAACAGGATCTGAAATTGTGGCAATAATCAATAGTTTACCAACCAAAAAGAGTCTAGGACCAGATGGATTCATGCCGAATTTTACCAGAGGTACAAGGAGGAGCTGGTACCATTCCTTCGGAAACTATTCCAATCAATAGAAAAAGAGGGAATCCTCCCTAACTCATTTTATGAGGCCAGCATCATTCTGATACCAAAGCTGGGTAGAGACACAACCAAAAAAGAGAATTTTAGACCAATATCCTTGATGAACATTGATGCAAAAATCCTCAATAAAATACTGGCAAACCAAATCCAGCAGCACATCAAAAAGCTTATCCACCATGATCAAGTGGGCTTCATCCCTGGGATGCAAGGCTGGTTCAATATATGCAAATCAATAAATGTAATCCAGCACATAAACAGAGCCAAAGACAAAAACCACATGATTATCTCAGTAGATGCAGAAAAAGCCTTTGACAAAATTCAACAACCCTTCATGCTAAAAACTCTCAATAAATTAGGTATTGATGGGACGTATTTCAAAATAATAAGAGCTATCTATGACAAACCCACAGCCAATATCATACTGAATGGGCAAAAACTGGAAGCATTCCCTTTGAAAACTGGCACAAGACAGGGATGCCCTCTCTCACCACTCCTATTCAACATAGTGTTGGAAGTTCTGGCCAGGGCAATCAGGCAGGAGAAGGAAATAAAGGGTATTCAATTAGGAAAAGAGGAAGCCAAATTGTCCCTGTTTGCAGATGACATGATTGTATATCTAGAACACCCCATTGTCTCAGCCCAAAATCTCCTTAAGCTGATAAGCAACTTCAGCAAAGTCTCAGGATACAAAATGAATGTAGAAAAATCACAAGCATTCTTATGCACCAACAACAGACAAACAGAGAGCCAAATCATGAGGGAACTCCCATTCACAATTGCTTCAAAGAGAATAAAATACCTAGGAATCCAACTTACAAGGGATGTGAAGGACCTCTTCAAGGAGAACTACAAACCACTGCTCCAGGAAATAAAAGAGGATACAAACAAATGGAAGAACATTCCATGCTCATGGGTCAGAAGAATCAATATCGTGAAAATGGCCATACTGCCCAAGGTAATTTACAGATTCAAGGCCATCCCCATCAAGCTACCAATGACTTTCTTCACAGAATTGGAAAAAAATACTTTAAAGTTCATATGGAACCAAAAAAGAGCCTGCATCGCCAAGTCAATCCTAAGCCAAAAGAACAAAGCTGGAGGCATCACACTACCTGACTTCAAACTATACTACAAGGCTATAGTAACCAAAACAGCATGGTACTGGTACCAAAACAGAGATATAGATCAATGGAACAGAACAGAGCCCTCAGAAATAACGCCGCATATCTACAACTATCTGATCTTTGACAAACCTGAGAAAAACAAGCAATGGGGAAAGGATTTCCTATTTAATAAATGGTGCTGGGAAAACTGGCTAGCCATATGTAGAAAGCTGAAACTGGATCCCTTCCTTACACCTTATACAAAAATCAATTCAAGATGGATTAAAGACTTAAATGTTAGACCTAAAACCATCAAAACCCTAGAAGAAAACCTAGGCATTACCATTCAGGACATAGGCATGGGCAAGGACTTCATGTCTAAAACACCAAAAGCAATGGCAACAAAAGCCAAAATTGACAAATGGGATCTAATTAAACTAAAGAGCTTCTGCACAGCAAAAGAAACTACCATCAGAGTGAACAGGCAACCTACAAAATGGGAGAAAATTTTCGCAACCTACTCATCTGACAAAGGGCTAATATCCAGGATCTACAATGAACTCAAACAAATTTACAAGAAAAAAACAAACAACCCCATCAAAAAGTGGGTGAAGGACATGAACAGACACTTCTCAAAAGAAGACATTTATGCAGCCAAATAACATATGAAAAAATGCTCATCATCACTGGCCATCAGAGAAATGCAAATCAAAACCACAATGAGATACCATCTCACACCAGTTAGAATGGCGATCATTAAAAAGTCAGGAAACAACAGGTGCTGGTGAGGATGTGGAGAAATAGGAACACTTTTACACTGTTGGTGGGACTGTAAACTAGTTCAACCCTTGTGGAAGTCAGTGTGGCGATTCCTCAGGGATCTAGAACTAGAAATACCATTTGACCCAGCCATCCCATTACTGGGTATATACCCAAAGGACTATAAATCATGCTGCTATAAAGACACATGCACATGTATGTTTATTGCGGCATTATTCACAATAGCAAAGACTTGGAACCAACCCAAATGTCCAACAATGATAGACTGGATTAAGAAAATGTGGCACATATACACCATGGAATACTATGCAGCCATAAAAAATGATGAGTTCATGTCCTTTGTAGGGACATGGATGAAATTGGAAATCATCATTCTCAGTAAACTATCGCAAGAACAAAAAACCAAACACCGCATATTCTCACTCATAGGTGGGAATTGAACAATGAGATCACATGGACACAGGAAGGGGAATATCACACTCTGGGGACTGTTGTGGGGTGGGGGGAGTGGGGAGGGATAGCATTGGGAGATATACCTAATGCTAGATGACGATTTAGTGGGTGCAGTGCACCAGCATGGCACATGTATACATATGTAAGTAACCTGCACAATGTGCACATGTACCGTAAAACTTAAAGTATAATTAAAAATAAAATAAAATAAATAAAGAAATATTTATTTAATTAATTAATGATTCAGTGAAGAACTGTACAGTGTTGCCCACAAGGGCATATAGAGAGAAAAATAAATGTAGAAGATGATAAGTTCATTTTAAGACATGCTAAATTAGGGGCTGTCTCTGAGACATTAAACTGGTGCACAAGGAAAATGTTTCAGCTGGTTCTATCAAGCATGTCATATCTATAGACAATGTATAAGGGATCAAGAGAATTTATAAAACCCATAGAAATTGGGAAATACCATATATTTAAGGAGTAGGCAAAGGAAGAAGAACAAAAACATCTAAAAAGGAATAGACAAAGGACTAGGGAGAATATTAATAAAGGAAAAATAATTCCCAGGCCCTAACTCAGATTTATTGAATTAGAAACTTTGAGGTAATAACACTGGCAAACATTGTCAAAATCACCTTTTTCAGAACTCTGGAAATTAAAAACTTAAAATAATCCAAAGAATATTTATTCAAGAAAAGTGGCTGAATTTCCATATGAAGAGCGAATCTTGTGGCATTTTAATTTGCACTAATCCCATCCTCTTCTCCAGTTGTATAGTAGGCCAAAAGCCAAAAGCTTCACTATTATGGTAGCTGTGTAAACTAGCAGCTGAGCAGTCACTAAGAGGTTAGAACAGTTTTTAAATTCTACATTCTACAGTTTTAGGAGTTCCCAAATGTCCATTCTCATAGAATAGTCACCATTTGACCTATCTGGCAGCTCACTAAGCTCCATTTTCAGGACATGGCTTCACTTCAGCTGACTCAGAACTGCCTTTATGTAACCATTGCTACCTACAGAATATTTGTCAAAAATAATCAGTGGCAACTGTTTAACAATGCAGGTGTTGGAGATGGCTTTAATAGCTGGAGCTAACAAGAGGCTTACAAAAAAATCAAAGAAAAAAATTGGAGAGTAAAATGTTCATAGGGGTCTACAAAAACGACTAACATATTTCTGGGAATCTATAGAGCCATGTATGGTGACTTGTGCATGATCACAAAAGACCTGAGAAAACTCTAAGCTCTCACCTCTGGCTGACTTTGAGGCTCTGTGCAAGCAGAAAGTGAAGGCTAAGGCTAAGACAGAGTAGTAAACAGTCTGCTGGAGCATTGAGGTCATCACCCAACACACACACACAGGCCCTTCACAAAGGCAGGGAAACGTACTGGCTTAATCTCCCACTAATCATTAGTTGACCATAAAGGTAACAGAGCAGAAATTTTAGTGGCCACACACAACAAAGAATACAGGTTTTAAGGAAAAATAACTCAAAAAACACATAGCAACAACAACAAAACCAAATAACAACAAACTGAGGGGAGGGGGTCATCTAATTTTTAGAGTTGACAGTTAACATTTACTTAAAATGTTCAGTTTGGGGCTGGGCATGGTGACTCACACCTGTAATACCAGCACTTTGAGGGGCTGAGGTGGGGATCACTTGAGCTCAGGAGTTTGAGACCAGCCTGGCCAACATGGTGAAACCTCGTCTCTACTAAAAATACAAAAATTAGCAGGGTGGGGTGGTGCATGCTTGTAGTCCCAGCTTCTCGGGGGCTGAGGCAACAGAATCGCTTGAATCTAGGAGGCAGAGGTTGCAGTGAACCAAGATCGTCCCACTGCACTCCAGCCTGGGTGACAGTGCGAGACTCCGTCTCAGAAAAAAAATAAAATAAATAAAATAAAAATAAATAAATAAAATGTTCAGTTTTGACAACAAATTATGATATATGCAAAAAGGAAAGTGTGGCTTATACAAAGGGAAAATAGCAGCCGACTGAAACTGTTCCCATGGAAACCCAAATATTAGATTTATTAGACAAAGATGTTAAGCCACCTACAATACATATGTTCAAAGAACTAAAAGAAACTATGCCTATGAATTAAAGTATACAAATAATGTCTTGCCAAATAGAAAATAACAGTAAAAAGAAAGAAATTATCTTTCAGAAGAAATGAATAGAAATCCTGGAGTTGAAAAAGGTAATAACAGAAACAAAATATTTACTAGAATGTCTGACTGGCAGCATATTTGAGGTCACAGAACACAGAAGAAAGAATCAGTGAACTTGGTGACAATGAACTAATGACAGGTTAATTGAGACTATCTTATATAAGAAACAAAAAGCAAATACAATTAAAAAATTAAAAGAGCCTCAGATATCTGTGGGACACCATCCAGCATCCCAACAATGCATAAGGGAGTCCCAGAAGAAGCAACAGAAAGGGGCAGTAATAATAATTTTTTTAAATAGCTCCCAAATACAATTGAAAAAATAACCTTAATATGAGTACCCAAGAAGCTCAACAAACTCAAATAGTATAAATTAAAGACATACATAACCAAACACATCAAACTAAAATGTCAAAAGGCAAATACAAGGCCAGGCGGGGTGGATCATGCCTATAATCCTAACACTTTGGGAGGCTGAGGCAGGTGGGTCACTTGAGCCCAGGAGTTAGAGATCACCTTGGACAACACAGGGAGATATAATCTCTATAAAATAAAAAATAAAAAAATTAGCCAGGTGTGTGGTGCACACCTATAGAGAGGATCACTTGAGCCAGGGAGGTTGAGGCTGCAGTGAGCCATGATCATAATATGTACTTCAGCCTGGGCAAAAGGGCAAGACCCTGTCTCAAAAAAACAAAACAAATGGCAATGACAAAGAGATAATTTCTAAGTGGCAAGAAAAAACAAACTCATCATATATAAGATATCTGTAATAAGATTAAAAGCTCACTATAAACAACTGTAGGTCAATAAATTACATAACCAAAATAAATTGGGCATTAACTAAAGAGTTTGTTGTTGTTGTTAAATGTTCTGCAGTGTCATATCAATATACAATTAACTTATTTTCACAAAAGGTGGGATACTGTATTTTTAGAATTGATTTTAGAAGGAATGGTACCAATCAATAGAAAAAGAGAGAATCCGCCCTAACTCATTTTATGAGGCCAACATCATCCTGATACCAAAGCCTGGCAGAGACACAGCCAAAAAAAGAGAATTTTAGACCAATATCCCTGATGAACATCGATGCAAAAATCCTCAATAAAATACTGGCAAACCGAATCCAGCAGCACATCAAAAACCTTATCCACCACGATCAAGTGTGCTTCATCCCTGGGATGCAAGGCTGGTTCGACATATGCAAATCAATAAATGTAATCCATCACATAAGCAGACCAAAGACAAAAACCATATGATTATCTCAATACATGCAGAAAAGGCTTTTGACAAAATTCAACACCCCTTCATGCTAAAAACTCTCAATAAACTAGGTATTGATGGGATGTATCTCAAAATAATAAGAGCTATTTATGACAAACCCACAGCCAATATCGTACTGAATGGGCAAAAACTGGAAGCATTCCCTTTGAAAACAGGCACAAGGCAGGGATGCCCTCTCTCACCACTCCTATTCAACATAGTGTTGGAAGTTCTGGCCAGGGCAATCAGGCAGGAGAAGGAAATAAAGGGTATTCAATTAGGAAAAGAGGAAGTCACATTGTCCGTGTTAGCAGATGACATAATTGTATATTTAGAAAACTCCATCGTCTCAGCCCAAAATCTCCTTAAGCTGATAAGCAACTTCAGCAAAGTCTCAGGATACAAAATCAATGTGCAAAAATCACAAGCATTCCTATAAAGCAATAACAGACAAACAGAGAGCCAAAACATGAGGGAACTCCCATTCACAATTGCTTCAAAGAGAACAAAACACCTAGGAATCCAACCTACAAGGGATGTGAAGGACCTCTTCAAGGAGAACTACAAACAACTGCTCAACGAAATAAAAGAGGACACAAACAAATGGAAGAACATTCCATGCTCATGAATAGGAATAATAAATATTGTGAAAATGGCCATACTGCCCAAGGTAATTTATAGATTCGATGCCATCCCCATCAAGCTACCAATGACTTTCTTCACAGAATTGGAAAAAACTACTTTAAAGTTCATATGGAACCAAAAAAGAGCCCGCATTGCCAAGTCAATCCTAAGCCAAAAGAACAATGCTGGAGGCATCATGCTACCTGGCTTCAAACTATACTACAAGGGTACAGTAACCAAAACAGCATGGTACTGGTACCAAAACAGAGATACAGAACAATGGAACAGAATAGAGCCCTCAGAAATAATACCACACATCTACAACCATCTAATCTTTGAAAAACCTGACGAAAACAAGAAATGGGGAAAGGATTCCTTATTTAATAAATGGTGCTGGGAAAAGTAGCTAGCCATATGTAGAAAGCTGAAACTGGATCCCTTCCTTACACCTTATACAAAAATTAATTCAAGATGGATTAAAGATTTAAATGTTAGACATAAAACCATAAAAACCCTAGAAGAAAACCTAGGCAATACCATTCAGGACATAGGCATGGGCAAGGACTTCATGACTAAAACACCAAATGCAATGGCAACCAAAGCCAAAATTGACAAATGGGATCTAATTAAACTAAAGAGCTTCTGCAGAGCAAAACAAACTACCATCAGAGTGAACAGGCAACCTACAGAATGGGAGAAAATTTTTGCAATCTACTCATCTGACAAAGGGCTAATATCCAGAATCTACAAAGAACTCAAACAAATTTACAAGAAAAAAACAAACAACCCCATCAACAAGTGGGCAAAGGATATGAACAGACACTTCTCAAAAGAAGACATTTATGCAGCCAACAGACACATGAAAAAATGCTCATCATCACTGGCCATCAGAGAAATGCAAATCAAAACCACAATGAGATACCATCTCACACCAGTTAGAATGGCGATCATTAAAAAGTCAGGAAACAACAGGTGCTAGAGAGGATGTGGAGAAATAGGAACACTTTTACACTGTTGGTGTAAACTAGTTCAACCATTGTGGAAGACAGTGTAGCGATTCCTCAAGGATCTAGAACTAGAAATACCATTTGACCCAGCCATCCCATTACTGGGTATATACCCAAAGGATTATAAATCATGCTGCTATGAAGACACATGCACACGTATGTTTATTGCGGCACTATTCACAATAGCAAAGACTTGGAACCAACCCAAATGTCCATCAATGATAGACTGGATTAAGAAAATGTAGCACATATACACCATGGAACACTATGCAGCCATAAAAAAGGATGAGTTCATGTCCTTTGTAGGGACCTGGATGAAGCTGGAAACCATCATTCTGAGCAAACTGTCGCAAGGACAGAAAACCAAACACCTTATGGTCTCATTCATAGGTTGGAATTGAACAATGAGAACACTTGGACACAGGGTGGGGAACATCACACACCAGGGCCTGTTGTGGGTATTAGGAGATATAGCCAATGTAAATGACGAGTTAAGGGGTGCAGCACACCAACATGGCATATACATATGTATGTAACAAACCTGCACATTGTGCACATGTACTCTAGAACGTAAAGTATAATTAAAAAAAATTGATTTCATTTTTATCAAGATAATACAATGTAGATAGTGTATGAAGTAAAATAATATTAATAGGCTCATAGTAAAAACCAGCATTCTTCTGCCACGTTTGTCTCTACTCTGTCTGTCTCCAGAGGCAAACATCCTCAACTTTTCTGTCTTTTTTCTCTGGGACTAGCCTATTTCTAAATGATATTCTTATACCTTCACTTAACATAGTCAATACATTCTTGGAAATTGCGACTTTAAGCAAAACCAGGTATAATGAAACCAACTGAAAGGATATTATTTGAGGACCTGCTGTACGTTGTTTAAAGTTGCACTTTCCAAGAACCTATCAAGGATATTAAGTGGGGACTTACTGTGCTTCTACTTCTTCACTTAACAATTTTTTAAACCCTATTGGTTGACTTCTCATCATATATAAAGACTTAGCTCTTTTGCATCCGTATAATTGCCATTTCTACCCATCTCTAATGCCAAAGTAATGTCATAATTTTGGGTTAAATGAATGGTCAATGTCTGTATTATCATGACTTATAAATATTATAGGCCCAAAAGTGAACTAGGAACATGGCTATTATTTCTCCTGGATTTACTAATTGCATTATTTTTTCAATCACCTAGTTTTATATGTACTTAGTACAATTTTTATATACTCTTCCGACACCACTGCTATCTGGGTATCAATTTTTTTTATATGTTCAAACATATCAATTTCCTTAGTTTCCTGGAGAGCTCCTTCCTGAAGGCTCTGTTGTTAGGGTACAATCTGGACTTGGTTTCGCTCTTAGTTTGCTGAATAACAGCCATGCTGGTACTTTTCTTTGCCCCTTTCCTGGATAGGACCCTGCTTTCATTTGTCTATGTGTTTCTCTTTCTTGATTTACTTGTTTATCTCACTGAATCACATTCTCCAGTTGTTTCCCAAGAAACAGTCCAAGGAAAGTATTTTTGGGTGTGAGGGTAGTATTCTCTCTATTCTATCACCACACTTGATTTGGTTGGATATAGAATTCTATGTAATAAAATTTGTTTCCCTTACAATTTTGAAGAAACTCTTCCATAATTTAAATTATTTGAGAAGTTCAATGCCATTCTACTACTCTGAATGTGACCCATCCACATTCCTTGCCCTTAGGAAGCACCTCACAATCTTCTCTTTATCTCCATTATGATGAAATTTTGTGATTATATTCCTGAGTGTGGGTATTTATTATTTATCGTGCTGGATATTTCAGTGGGCTTTTTCAATGTGCAGACTCATATCCTTCAGTTCTGAGAAAATTTAACATATTCTTTCTTTGATCATGTCTCATTCACTCTATTGTTTTGGTTCTTCTTTTGTGGGACTCCCATTTGCAATACGATAGGCCTTCTCAGTCTTGAGTCTCATGGTTTTGTCTGCCTTTTTATCGCTTCGGTTTTTTTGTCCTATTTTTCTAGGAGTTCTCCATAGGTTTTCTTCCAGCCTATTTAAGTTTCCAAAGTATTTTATTTATTATTATTATTATTGAGACAGTGCCTTGGTCTGTTGCCCAGGCTGGGGTACAGTGGCACAATCATAGGTCATGGCAGCCTTGAATTCCTAGGCTCAAGAGATCCTCCTGCCTCAGCCTCCCAAAATGTGGGATTACGGATGTAAGCCACTGTGCCCAGCCTTGAATTTTTATTTTTATTAAAAACATTTTTTTTTTTTGAGACGGGGTCTTGCTCTGTCACCTAGGCTGGACTTCAGTGCATGTTTACAGCTGACTGCAGCCTCAAACTCCTGAGCTCAAGTGATCCTCCTACCTTAGCCTCTTGGGTAGCTGGGACAATAGGCATGAACTACCATGCCTGGCTTTTGGTTTTTACTTATGTTATCATATTTTGTATTTCAAAGCTCTGCCTGTGGATATAATTTTAAAAATTTAAATAGCACCTTATTGCATTTTAATTTTCTGACAACTTTCATTGTCAGTTTCCTCCAAATTCCATTATACTATTTGTTTCATTTTGTTTCATGGTAAATGCTTTCCTTCAATTATTAGACTACTGTTGGAATGAATTGTTGGACATTTATTCGTGTTAAGAATGAAGTACCAAAAGGAAATGAGTGGGTAGGACCTGTCAACTAGTGGAGTTTATTGGGGGTTAATCAGGTTAATCAGATAAGATGGCCTATTTGTAGGAGTGTCTCCAATTGCAAGAACCTGAAGATCTTGCTTGAATTTTCAAGAGGTCTCAATGGTAAAGAGGTATTTCCTTGCTCTGTTTTACTATACAGGCTGAAACTTTACATTGAGTAGGTTTTCCAAAACCCACAGCAATCTCAAGGATACTTCATAAATACATTCACCTAGTCTGACATTGTGAAAATTATTTTACAGCTAATTCTGATTACACTTTTAAATTTGTCAATTTAAAATGCATTACCAGCTGGGCGCGGTGCCTGACACCTGTAATCCCAGCAGTTTGGTTGGCTGAGGCAGGTGGATTGCTTGAGCCCAGGAGTTCGAGAACAGCCTGGGCAACATGATGATGGTGAAACCTAATCTCTGTAAAAAATAAAAAAATTAGCTGGGCGAGGTGGTACACACCTATAGTCCCAGTTTCTTAGGAGGCTGAGGTGACAGCATTGCTTGAGCCCAGGAGGCAGAGGTTGCAGTGGGCCAAGATCACACCACTGCCTGCACTCCAGCCTGGGCAATACAATAGGCCCTATCTTCGGGAAAAAAAAAAAAGAACAGCATTACCAACAATAAAGTTCACATTACTTAAGACATTTCCAGAGATTTTCACAATATATTAGCAATGTTTTATATATCCTACTTATCTCAAAAATGTATTAGGAAAAAAGTACTTTGTATGACAGCATTTTAAAATTCAAGTTTTAGATAGCTCTTATTCAGATAAATATAGAGCTAGAAAGAATTTTAAGCTATCATTCCAGATCACCTATTTTATTTTATAGAATAAGAAACAGTATTTGAGTAATTTCCTCAAGAGATTAACTAAATGGGAGAATTGTGACTAGTTAACTACCTTTACATGGGATGGCAAAATGCAAATAAACTTACCAAAAAAAGTGGTAAAATATTTAAAGTAAATGTACAACATAATTTTTTTATCTGCTTTTGTCTAAAACAACCTACAAAATTTGAATAGTTAAACAAAACTAAAATTAGTAGTAGTGTTTGGTGCTTTCAATTTAGTTACACTAAAATGCATTATTTGTCTAAAATTCAAAGCAAAAATCCATTGTCAATATACATGAAAAAAACAAGATGCTTTTCATTATATACACTTAAATAATGGTTCCAATATGATGTGGTAAAAAGAGCACTGAAATGGGAATAAAAGAATCTGTGTTCTAGGACATTACCAATATTTCAAATATAGAGAAATCCTTTAATTTCTCTGGGCCTCAGGTTTCTCCACTATTCAATAAAAGCATTAGACTAGATAATCTTTAAGTAAGGCCACTGTATCACTGAAAGTTCAGTTACCCCAATGTAATCATTTTCACGGCAACAATATTTACTAATTGGTAATTTGGGGGATGAATTTAGTTTTACAATTTGCATGCTTAGGTTTTGTCACAATCATTCATTCTGCCATTACTATTGAGCAGCAGCTTGACCTTAAAGGCTGAGAGGTGAACAGGATATGTTGGGGCCCACCAAGCCAGGGAAAAGCCAGAACCAAAGCTCAGAGATGCACCAGTACGTGTACATCTGGTGAACATATTGAGAGATAATGGGTGCAGGGGGGTAGCTATTGTTTAAAAGTGGAGAAGTCATCCTGGGAAGAAAGGTACAAGAATGATAGGTTCTGTACTTTTTGTTGTCTGGGGAGAGTGGACATGAAAAAATCGTATCTATGGACTATTTTCTTTACATATACCAAGGCCTAGATTTCACACTGCTTTTTTCGTTTTTGCATCAGAGACTTCACAACTTTCATATCTACATATTGCCTTAAAATGTTTAAAGAAGGCCGGGCACAGTGGCTCACGCCTGTAATCCCAGCGCTTTCGGAGGCCTCGGAGGCCTCGGGCAGATCACCCGAGGTCAGGATTTCGAGACCAGCTTGACCAACATGGAGAAACCCCGTCTCTACTAAAAATACAAAATTAGCTGGGCGTGGTGGCGCATGCCTGTAATCCCAGCTACTCGGGAGGCTGAGGCAGGAAAATCACCTGAACCCGGAAGGTGGAGGTTGCGGTGAGCCGAGATTGCGTCACTGCACTCCAGCCTGGGCAGTAAGAGCGAAACTCTGTTTCAAAAAAAAAGGTTAAAAAAACCATCTTGGGACAATATACTCAGGAAACTGACCATTTCCTCTGGACCAATACATCCTCTGAGCCCAGTCTCTGTATAAATTATAGATAATCAATAGGGCATAAAAATAGTTTCAAAATTTGCTAAACTCAAAAATGTAAAAATTTCTCTAAAACAATATATAAAAATAATTTTCAAATACATTAGTAACGTCACAAAGAATGAATTTAGCTTTCAAAAAGAAACAAAACACAACAGTAGAAACTGCATTCTCTGAGATTTGCATCTCCTGAGAAGAAATATATTTGAACTGTTGCCTTGATCTGAAACTCAAATCAATTGTTTATCATTCTTCCAAGGTAAACACTTTTTAAAATTCAAACCCCAATGTTTTAGCGGTTCTTTCTAAAAGGATTTATCTTGTGGAGTTCAGCAGACAGAAAATTTGGGGATTTGAGTTACCTAAGTATTATCTTTCCCTACCCATATCCATTCAAATGTCAGGTCAAATATGTTCAATTTCTTTATCTCAAGCATTCAAATTCTTCTTTGCATTCTCACTGCCTTGACTAGTTTAAAATCACACTATCTCTTGCTTAGGTTAGTATAATAGCTTCCCAATCTCCCCACTTCATTTTGTGTTCTATAATGATTCCTATAAATAACAATTTCTCCATTATCTTTCCCGAGGTGACATTCTTCTATACAAGTATAAGTCACATCATGGTACCTGCTACATTCTAAAAAGTTATGTGTGCATTCTCTTTGAAGAATAAGATTTATTCCAAATGAATCTCGGCAAAATTCCTTGATAAATGCATTTTCTCCATATTCTAATTGAAATTTAAGCCTGAAATCTATGGCTAGGCTGTCTGGATTTCACTGACTGTAAGCACATTTCTTCACCTTTCACATACCTCATTTATTACATCTGTAACATGAGAATAATAGAAATATCTCATATGATCATCTTAAGGAGAAAGATATGTAAAAATACATATAAGTTGTACAGTTCATGTGGCACTGTGTATGAGGCCTTTGCAAGTATCTCTCACACAGTAGTAGGCCATCAGTAAAGATAGCTATTGCTAGTGGCTCTACATTTTATTGTTGTTATTTTTGTCCTTGTTGTTACCTGAAATTTGTTTCTTTTTTATCTAAGACATAATTTGCAATTCGTAATCTGACATATATAAATACCATCATGTGTCACTTAACGACAGGGATACATTATGAGAAATGCATTGTTAGGCAATTCCGTCATCATGCAAACATCACAGAGTGTATTTACAAAAACCCCAGATGATATAGCCTACTACACATGTAGGCTATATGACACAGCCCATTGCTCCTAGGCTACAAACCCGTGAAGCATGTTACTGTGCTGAATACTGTAGGCAATTTTAACACAATGGTAAGTGTTTGCATATCTAAAATATCTAAACATAGAAAAAGTACAGTAAAATTACAACATTTTAATCTTATGGGACCACAGTCCTATTTGCAGTCCATTGTTGCGATAAATGTTGTTATCTGGCACATGACCACAGTATCATCCATCACATCCTATGAGGTAAAGTTTAGAATGGACCTTGAAGGATAGGTACGACTCGATTCGATTGATTGATCACTGAGACAGTGTCTCTCTATGTTATCCAGGCTGGTCTTGAATTCCTGGCCTCAAGCGATCTTCCTGCTTAAGCCTCCCAAAGTGCTGGATTACAGGTGTGAGCCAAGAGGCCTGGCCAGATGGGTAAGATTTTAATAGGCAAAGATGGAAGAGGAGGATGCTCCAGAAGAAGGGAAGAAACCAGAAAAGGAACAGAGGTGGTGCAGTGCAAAGGATAGTATAGACAGCAGCAGAGTGGCCCAGTTTGGATGGAGCTCAGGATAAAATAGAAATAGTGGTCAGTGATGACAGATTTTGAACCAGTCATCATTGAAAAATTTGTAGCGAGTAACATTATGAAAAAGTTTCAGGAAGACTAAGCCTAGCAAGTATGATATGGAAATACTGTGTGTTAAGTGAGAAAATCAGGGGGAACAGACCTGTTGGCTACAAATAGGAGATTTAGGGAACTTGGGCAAGGGGTATAAAGGAAATTAAGAAGAGCTGCAAGTTGCTAATAATAATGTAGAAATAGACTCAATTAAGAAGGAACTGGGCTGGGCACGGTGACTCACGCCTGTAATCCCAGCACTTTAGGAGGCTGAGGCAGTCTGATCACCTGAGTTCGGAAGTTTGAGACCAGCCTGACCAACATGGAGAAAACACGTCTCTACTAAAAATACAAAATTAGCCAGACATGGTGGTACATGCCTGTAATCCCAGCTCCTTGGGAGGCTGAGGCAGGAGAATTGCTTGAACCCAGGAGGTGGAGGTTGCAGTGAGCCAAGATTGTGCCACTGCACTCCAGCCTGGGCAACAAGAGTGAAACTCTGTCTCAAAAAAAAAAAAAATTAATAAACTGGGGAGAAGATTTTTTTATTAAGGATTTTCTAAGTAAGATTTCTGCATAAAGCCAGCTACTGCCTAATTTAGCTACTGCTTGACTGGCAACTGATGAAACTTCACATGTTAGCCAAGTAACTTTATTGACCTAATAACTGTTTACCTCCTTTATTGACCTAATGCCTTCAGAAGTAAGGGAGAAATTAAAAGAAACAGCTATATGACCAAAGATTTTTCTGGAAAGAGATTCGAAATCTTTGGTGATGGCTACAACAAATGTATCCAGAGAGAGACCACTGTCACAACACAATCTGCTTAATTTGTTCATTTGTATACCTTCCCAATATCAAATTTCCTGAAGTTTTTCTTCTTTTCGCCAAAATTTCAACTTCTCACTTTTCTATTTTAACTTATCTATGTACAACTTGTCTATGGCCATTCTTCCCCCTACCCCCCAGATTATAAATTCAATTTGAATACACAGAAACAGAATACAGTTCCTGTCTTAGGATCCTCATTTGTAAAACAAGATATCACAATTAGAGTACACGTAAGACCGTGATTCTGTAGTTTTCTGAAAAAGTTGTACTTTGAAATTAAACAAATTCTTTCCATTTAACTTGTTGGAAATGTGGTCACCTGAGAATGTGTCCCTGATGCTTTAATCTCCCAACTCTGACACCCACCACCCCCCACTATGAATACTAGACTGATGATTAGATAGTTTATAACATGTGCAAGGCCATAGGATATGCCAGAATTCCAGAAGGAAGCATCAGATAACCAGTTTTGTTCCCTGCTAGGGCTGCTGGAGATTGGAGGTGCTGTGGCTTGGGGTTCAGAAGGTACGACCAAAATTTACAGGGCCCCGAGAGGTCTTCGCCTTTGCTGAAAGTTAAGTGCCTGCCCACATATGTGGTCCTAGGAGGTCTATCTGGTGTTTGTGGAAGACTTCCAAACAGACACAAAGATGGTCAGAGTTGCTCTATATCCCTAAAGATAACTTTAACCAAAAATAATCCTTTTGCCTCAAGAAGTTGTGAATAAGCTTACCAATGGTGTTTTTAAAGCTCACAGAGCAAAAAATCCTGGGCCCCTCACCACTCAAAGGCTATACAGAGCCATTGTTAGGCAAAGGGAAATAATAATGTATTCAAGGGTACACAAATCAAAGACAGAAAAAACAAGTCGAGCCCTAAAACCTAGGGGGCTCCTAGAATAAAGTTGCTGGAGAAGATAGAAGAAAACTTTTAACACAAGCAATACAAAAGAATGATCAACTTTAAAACATATTCTAGAATGTAAAAATATGTTTTTAAATTAAAAAATAGTTAAATAAAGTATGTTGTCTTTGAGCCCACAATAACTGGCTTTTAACATCAAATTGAAGAAACAGCTGAAAATATGCAGCAAAATGCAGAGAGGGAAATCTTCAGGGGGAAAGAAATAGAGATTAGGAAAAAAGAAGTAACACAAGTAAAGTTCCCTGGTTTGAAGAATTTTGTTTGTGAATAGAAGGGCTCATTAAAGTCCAGGTAGGTTAATCAAAACAAGTCATACAACCGGACATATTTTGGTAAACTTCCTATATTCTAAAGATTAAGAGAAAATCTTTCAAATATCCAGAAGAAACAAGTTACAGCAGAAAAATAATCCAGACTGGCATTTTACATTGCATCTTCAATACCTGAAACTGGAAGATACTGGACTGTTGAGGACAGAGAGAAAAGAACTGGCAGCAAAGCATTCTATGCCCCACCAAGTAAGTTATCATTCATCTTCCAGGTTAGAAGAAAGACAATTGTGGATATTCAAAGATGAGAGATAAAACCACCCCTATACCCTGTCCGAGGAAACTACTCAAGAAGTATTTGAACCAAACAACATATGAATCAGAATAGAAATCTCAAGACACATGAAGATAAATAGAAAAGAGTGCAATAAGCCTTGCAATATATACGTTAAAACTAAATGGATAAGAATTGTGACTGGGTATTCATAACATAACAGCTAAGTAAGAATTCTTAAAATAGAAGAGACATATGGTAAGGGAAAAAGCTAATAAATCTAAAACCAAAAGTATTGAACTACGTCAGCAAAACTGAGGAGTTAGAAGACGGTGGAGAAATGTAAAAGCATCCTAGAGGTCTAATTTGGGGGGAAGAATGGAATAGGGAATTAAACATTCTTAAGCTTTCATCTAGAAGAAGAGAATAAAGCATACTTGTAGGGTGCTTATTTAGTTCATACTTTTCAGATGACTGTGGAGAAATACATGTTAGATAATGAATATCAGAATACAAAGCAAAGAATTTGCCTATTATCCATGTTCAAAGGAAATATAATCCACTTTAATATTGAAAATTTCAGATTGGGTTAAAAAGCAAAGCCCAGCTATGTGATATTTTATAAAAAACACATTGAAAAGCCAGTACTAAATATTTTCATTGTTTTAATGCCAAGAATTTCAACATATATGTATATATGGGTGTTTGTATATCTGTATCTCTATTACTTTCTATCGGTAGATCGATCGATCTATCTATCTATCTATCTATCTGTCATCTATCTATCAATCATCTATCTATCTATCATGAAAATAAAATAAGAGCTGGGCATGATTAGCAGTAAGTAAAATCAAATTTAGTTCAAAGACTGGCTAATACACGGCCATCAGCAGAAAAAAAATTTCATATTCTGGAATATTCTGGATAAATATTTTCTTTTAGGAATGTCTATGAAATTCACAGCAATTGGCTGGATGAATATCTGCCCTCATTATCCTGGCAAATAAATTTTCATGATATAATGTTAGTTTTGAACAGTAACTTTTCAAAATAATTTAAATTATTTTGAATTTAAATTACTTTTAAAAGTAGTATATGTAACTTGTTTTATTTCCTGAAAATAGTATGGTTTTATTTATTTTATTTTATTTTATTATTATTTTGAGACCGAGTTTTGCTCTTGTTGCCCAGGCTGGAGTGCAATGGCACAATCTCAGTTCACTGCAACCTCCACCTCCCGGGTTCAAGCGATTCTCCGGCCTCAGCCTCCCAAGTAGCTGGGATTACAGGTATATGCCACCATGCCTGGCTAATTTTTTGTATTTAGTAGAGACGGGGTTTCACCACGTTGGTCAGGCTGGTCTTGAAATCCTGACCTCAGGTGATCCACCCGCCTTGGCTTCCCAAAGTGCTGGGATTACAGGCGTGAGCCACTGTGCCCGGCCTAGTATGGTTTTATTTAAACATACTATTTTCTATATTTGACAACCAAAATGACAAGAAAAACAAAGAATAAAACAAAGTGAAAGCAGAAGCTTCAAATTTGCAAAGTTTACACAAATGGAAATCAGAAGTTGGATATAAACAAGGGCAAATTCATATCTCAATATTCTACTGAGAATAACTTTCTTGGCTTGGTATAATTTGTGAATCTAAGGCTTATTAAGGTAAACTGCAATACCAAATATCTTAACATGCCTTAAATGGCATTTAACAACTCCAAGAGGAAATTAAAGATTTCTCTAAAAATATATGTATTGTCTTTTAAGAAATTAAACTACTATTGAACCTAAGAAACAGCAGATAGATTTTTTGGCTTCCTTTAAAAGTGATTGCATAATCCCTCTAAATTATGTGTTCTGACACATGAACCGTAAATTTTTAATAAAATTAACATTCTGTTATAATACTATCAATATCCCCACTTTTCAATAAAAATGCTGTTTTTGTTACACAAATTATTTTTAGGTAAAAAATCTTTTTAGGTATTTTAGTATACCAATATATAATATGTTACATTTTAAGTCAGCCTTAAGATAAGGTTTCACTGTTTAATGCATTTTATGTAAATTAATAAACATTCTTATGAAAATACATGCATGTGCCTGTAAAGACAAAAGTACATAGTAGCTATAGCCTACAAAACCAGGTGTGGTTTAAAAGAAATCACATCAATTTTTAATATTTCAGCAAAATCCAAAATATCTTGAAAAATGATGTATGATTAATTGATGAATTTAAAAATTTACCAGCCTACCCTCATTGAGCTAACCTAGATTAAGAGACTGATTACAGCTGAAATCTCACTTTCACTCCTGCATAAGTTTCTCAAAGATTTGTTTGGGAACTGTCTCATGCTTAGTCACCCTCCAAATATGATTTAAGCAAAGCAGTTAGCTATTTTTGTGTTATGCAAGATGGGAAAAGATGTATGAGGATTCCTTTTTAAGCAACATAATTTGATTTTTATGCTTATTCAATATTAAAAAAGCAGTTCATTTTTACATTTCAGAATTGCCATATGGACGTACTTCACTTAAGATTCATTCCTATTGAAAGCCTGGAGAGTTTTTGTTTACAGTAAGGTAAAAGCAACAGAGGATAATTTATGAATCATCTATATATATATATATGTGTATATATATATATATATATGTATATATATAATTTCTTTTCCTGTTTTTCAATAGCAGACTTGAAGGTCTCTAGAAAAATAAAAATGTGAAGGAGCAGACCCTTAAAAACTACCACAGTTCATATAAAACTCTCTTTTTGTAATCCTCTAACAATAGTTTTGACTATTTATTAAACACTTTCAATGTGCGAGGCATTATACTCAGTAGATTATCTCATTTAAGCCTTGTAATAGATCTATGCAGTAAGCATAATTATTCTCATTTTAATAGTGAGAAAACAAACTTGGAGAGGTCACATGAGCAGAATTGCAGCTCAAGTCTGACTTCAAAGCTTTTTAAAATAATGGAATCATATTTATCAAAAACATTTAACTCTAAGCTGACTATATGCAAAGTAGTTATTAGTGAATAGCATTCAAAAAAGCACACACATGAAAACACACACACCCCTTAGGTGAAGAAGCCATTATGCTGAAAAGATGATAACATCCCACTCATCTATAACCATCAAGGAATTAAAAACTTTTAAGATTTTTCCAGATAAATAAAATATAGCACTCTATTTACCATTTAAAATATTTAAGATAATTTTTCTAAATGCATACAAAAATTTCCTTATTTCTTAAAAAATGAATATAGCTTTTTGTCTGTTTTAGAAACAGGGTTTTGCTCTTTGTCATCCAGACTGGAGCACAGTAGCATAATCATAGCTCACTGCACCCTTTAACTCCTGGGCTCATCATCCTCCTGCCTCAGCCTCCTGAGTAGCTAGGACTGAAGCTGCATGCCACCATTCCTGGCTAATTTTTTAATCTTTTTGAAGAGATGGGGGTCTTGTTATGTTGCCCAGGCTGGACTTGAACTCCTGGCATCAAGTGATCCTCCTACCTCGGCCCCCCAAAGTGCTAGGATTACAGGCATGAGCCACCAAACTCCCCCAATAACTTATTTTTTTTGATAATGCAAGCTAGTTCTTATGAAAATTGTGTAAGAAAAGATGAAACGCCATTCATTCATTCATTCAAGATTTATAGACCACTCATTACATGTCATACAGCGTATCTAGGTAACAATAAAATAAAGATGACCAAGAGATATTCCCTGAACTAAAAAACAAAGCAAACAAACAAAAAAACCCTCATAGTCTAATGTTTGTGAAGACAGGAAAATAAGTGCTTTCAAACTAGTAAGCCCTCATTAATTTCTATCTTAGAATATGGACAATTAATCATTGCATTAGTTGATAATATAACTTGACCTATAACTCCCCTTTATAAAAACAGCAACAAGTAAGTCCCTTTGAATAACCTGTATACTACATTTTATGCCAAAGAACTCCTCTTTCATCTCGTATTATCAGGAAATGAGATGTTATGGATGGATGCAGTTTTCAGTTAAGTGAAGCTTCACTTATTAAGTGCCCAAACTATTTGGATTCTAATCACCTTTGGTGAGCTTTTTAAAAATATATTACATATTAGCTAGTCTCCCCAACCTTGCCCAGGAGAATCATTAACCATCACTAAGTGAGTAAATTCCTGCTGCTGTTAACTCTGGAGTATGCTACACGAGAAAGAGCTGGATAGCAAACCAAAGCCTGCAATGTGGCAGATCCATCCTTGGGACTTTTGATTGGTGACTCATATTTAACACGACTGTTTTTTCCTTCTACAGTGTTTTAATACACAGGCATGTCTCCCCTGATGAGGAGTCATAAGAACCTCTTTGGTATTGTAATTTAACCGGTCTGTGAGATAGGTTCCTCTGATCCCCAGAGTGCATTTTTTTTTTTTTAATATCACACAGCCAGTATTTTGTTAGACCATCCAATACAAATGTTTCATACTTGGTGAAAATTCTCTACATGCTTGTTTCTACATGTTTATATAGTAATGAACAGAAATATCCATCATAAAGGACAGCATACAAAAATAATTTTGCATGGTTTCAGTGACCTAGTTCATCATTTGCTGTACCATTCCATAAAAGAATGATACTCTAGGGGCATCTGAGATGTACAGGGTCATTGCTATACTGCATCAGCTATGAGAAGTACAGTAGTTCTAATCTGCTATGTAAGAAAAATTGAGCGCTGTCAGGAGAAAATGGAAGATAAAGTTTATTTAAATAATTAAATTAAAATTTGTATTAACATTTCTTCAAAATAATGATGATAGTTATAGTCTTCTCTTTTAGGACAAAATGCATGGGCTTGAAGCTATTATTTTCCTAAATGTTCAAAGACACTTTCTACATTCATGGTTCTATAATGAAGTTATTTTAAGGCCTACAGAGGTCAGCTAAATGTCTGCCATGTCATGAAATTGCTTAAATTTGAAAACTGTATTTGAATCACAATTATTTGGAACAACAGAAAAATTTTATTAATTCAAACATTTTGATGATGTTATTTAGGGAGGTAATCCAAATTTCAGAATGCTAATAAATTTTGTTTAAGTAGTGTGTAGATGGAAATTAGTACAGAAAGTTTAAAAAATTAAAGGCCCATGTTCTATAATAACAAATTAAATATGAATACCAAATCTACCTTTGTCTATTCACTTATTCAGTGAACTATATTTGTAATGTCTGAATTATCAATTAATATACTATAAAGCCACAAAATGGCAAGTAGATATAAAATAGTTCTTCCCCAGATTTTCAACATTTTCCTAAATTGCTATACTCTTAAAACTTACTACCAATAAAATGTTTTTTGTTTTAATGCTTAGTGGCACTTTCAATATAGTGACAACCTTCTTTGTACAATGTATCAGCTGTATTTTCACAGAGCCTATCTTTTTAGAGATAGAGTATATCTGGGTCACTATTTTATTTATTTCTTTTTTCTTTTTGATAAGGAGTCTCACTCTGTTGCCCAGTCTGGAGTGCAGTGGTGTGATCTTGGCTCACTGCAACCTCCGCCTCCCTGGTTCAAGTGATTACTCCTGCCTCAGCCTCCCGAGTAGTTGAGATTACAGGCACACATCGCCACGCCTGGCTAATTTTTCTATTTTTTAGTAGAGACAGGGTTTCACCATGTTGGCCACGGTAGTCTCAAACTCCTGACCTCAGGTGATCCACTGCCTCTGCCTCCCAAAGTTTTGAGATTACAGACATGAGCCACAGCACCCGGTCTGGGTCACTATTTTGCTTAAGAAGTTCCTTAAGTTTCCCTCAGACATCTTTGTGTTCTGTTTTCTTGATCAAGACTGCTAATGGTTCTTTGCTGCTTTTAATTTCCTGGGAGTGTGAAAATAATTAAAATTGGGGTTGGATAGTATTTTAAAGGTCCTTATAAAAAAGACGAAAGGCAATTTGAAATCGCTAGCCTAAAATAAATAGACTAAAGCTTCAACTCTTAGCGATCACACCTTTGCACTAGATCTTTGCAAAGTTATGCTGATAGAAACATTCAATCAGATGCCAGATCATTTTCTTAAGGAAACAAGAATTGTCATTTTATACTGAATAAGTAGAAACATTTTATGCACATGAAATCCAGTACTTTTAACTAAGTTTTTTTTTCTAAGATGGAGGCAAAAGTAAAGCCTTATATGCTTGCTGATAGAGCAATTTTCAGACACTTAAAGAGTGGCTCACTGGCAATACATGCATACACACATGCATACATGCATTCTGACATGCTTTCTTGAGTAAGGCATATATTGTACATGTGACTACTATCTACCATATAGTCATGTTGGAGATTACCAACTGCTTTTTAAGTACAAAAAACATGCATATATGTGTATATATGCAAATGTGCATATAAAGATTTATGCATTGCTTTTTTGTGCTGTCATTTACAGTCCATGACATAGAAATGTGGTATGAACAAAAAAGGACAGTCCCACAAAGAAACTTAAGACTTAGTTTTTGCTCCAACTCTAATTAATGTGTGACCTTGGACAACTGTTTGTCATTGGGTTCAGGATGCTACAACCTGTTCTACTAAAAGTACAAGGCTATTATAAGGATCAATAATACATATCTGTATAGCATATATATTATATGCATAAAAAGTAATATATGTAGACATGCTTTTTAAAGTAGGGTCTTTTAACCAGGGAGTTAACAGCACTGTGTTAAGCAAAAATTGACAAATGGGATCTGATTAAACTAAAGAGCTTCTGCACAGCAAAAGAAACTATTATCAGAGTGAACAGACAACGTACAGAATGGGAGAAAGCTTTTGCAATCTATCCATCTGACAAGGTTTAATATCCAGAGTCTACAAGAAACTTAAACAAATTTACAAGAAAAAAACAACCCCATTAAAAAGTGGGCAAAGGACATGAACAGACACTTCTCAAAAGAAGACATTCATGCAGCTAACACACGTATGAAAAAAAGCTCATCATCACTGATCATTAGAGAAATGCAAATTAAAACAACAATGAGATACCATCTCACACTAGTCAAAATGGTGATTATTAAAAAGTCAAGAAACAACAGATGCCAGTGAGATTGTGCAGAAAAAGGAACACTTTTACACTGTTGGTGGGAGTGTAAATTAGTTCAACCATTGTGAAAGACAGTGTGGGTGATTCCTCAAAGATCTAGAAGCAGAAATACCATTTGACCCAGGAATCCCATTACTGGGTATATACCCAAAAGAATTTAAATCATTCTGTTATAAAGATACATGCATGCGTATATACATTGGAGCACTATCCACAATAGCAAAGACATGGAATCAACCCAAATACCCATCAACGATAGACTAAATAAAGAAAATGTGGTACATATATACCATGGAATACGATGCAGGCGTAGAAAGGAAGATCATGTCCTTTGCAGGGACATGCATGAAGCTGGAAGCTGTTATCCTCAGCAAACTAATACAGGAACAGAAAACCAAATACCACATGTTCTCACTTATAAATGGGAGATGAATGATGAGAACACGTGGACACATAGTGGGAAGAATACATACTGGGGCCTGTCATGAGCTGCGGGGAGAGAGAGCATCAGGAAGAATAGCTAATGGATGCTGGGCTTAATACCTGGGTGATGGGATCATCTGTCCAGCAAACCACCATGGCACACGTTTACCTATGTAACCAACCTGCATATCCTGCGCAAGTACCCCAGAACTTGAAATAAAAGCTGAAGAAAATTGGGAGGCCGAGGTGGGCGGACCACAAGGTCAGGAGATCGAGACCATCCTGGCTAACACGGTGAAACACCGTCTCTACTAAAAATACAAAAAATTAGCCAGGCACGCACCCGTAGTCCCAGCTACTCAGGAAGCTGGGGCAGGAGAATCGCCCGAACCCGGGAGGCGGAGCTTGCAGTGAGCCGAGATCGCGCCACGCACTCCAGCCTGGGAGACAGAGCAAGACTCCGTCTAAAAAAAAAAAAAAAAAAGAAAGAAAAAAAGCTGAAGAAAACAACCCAACAGTACTTTGTTACTAATAATTTATTGCTAAAGTTTGCAAAACATCTTACATATTTTTAATTTAAGGAGAATTCAAGACTATCAGTATACTATGAATCATATTCTCTCTCTCAATAAAAGTGCATTCTGACATGCTTTTTTGGGTAAGCAGTGTGTTGTACATATGACTACTATCTAACATGTTGGATAAGAGATTCCCAACTGCTTTTTAAGAATAAAGAGCCAGGGGGGAAAAGATGGCATTACTGTCATTATTTCTATTATTCAAATTGCCCAGATTAGGGGCTTCCTCTTAATACTGTAATTCATATGATACCACAACCTGAAAAATATAAGTATAAACAAGGATTGCTTCGTTTTTCCCTTTTGGTGTGTATGGAGAATATGGAAGGGGAACACCTGGGAGAAAACACTTACCATATACAGCAAATGCTGGAAGGTAATATGTAGCCATCTAATAACTAAAATTGTATTTCCTCATCCAAAATCTTTAGTAACTTTTCCTTTGTAAAGACACCTACTTTTTTTTTTTTTTTTTTTTGAGATGGAGTCTCCCTCTGTCACCCATGATGGAGTACAGTGGCACGATCTTGGCTCACTACAAACTCTGCCTCCTGGGTTCAAGCGATTCTCCTGCCTCAGCCTCCCCAAGTAGCTGGGACTAGAGGCACACACCACCACGCCCAGCTAAATTTTTTTTTTTTTTTATTTTTAGTAGAAACGAGGTTTCACCACATTGGCCAGGCCGGTCTCAAACTCTTGACCTCAGGTGATCCGCCTGCCTCGGCCTCCCAAAGGGCTTGGGATTACAGGTGTGAGCCACTGCGCCCAGCCTGCTTCTTAACCTACAATTCTCCATGATGCACTGGCTGGCTAGTAAACAGATCTCTTGAACACATCTTTATTTTATTAATAATTGCTGCTTCCTTTAAAGAGGGATTTTTAGAGAAGAAAGCATGTACTTATACTACCAATGTATTTTTCATTTCCTTCTAAGCTAATCATGGGACTCTACAAATCTTTCTTTTTACTTTCCTTTTCAGCATAGCAAAGAACTTTTCATAGCCACCTTTAAAAAAATATTTAGAAACAAAACATTTTATAGCATTATTCATTCTTTCAATATTTATTGACCTATTAAGTGGCAGCCATAGCCCTTGTGTTAGCTACACAGTCCCAGACATCAAGGAAGCCTAGTAAGAGAGACAGAAAATTAAGTAAGGCATTTGCACTACACAGTGATAAGTATTAAAAGGAGTTAAGCATAGGAAGCCATCAGGCTGTGCTGGAGAAACCAGAGAGGTTGTAGATAGACTTCCAAGATGACACCAAAGATGAGCCCTGAAGTATGAATGGGAAAGTGAAAAATTGGGAAGGGTATTTCCAGCAGAGGGAATATCATCAGAATTTATATACTGAATTATATGTTTGTTATGATCATATTTATCTTTTAGAAAGTCAACTAAGGTAATATGAGGAATAAATTTAAAAAGGTAAAAATATGATTTTAACCATGATTCCATTTTCATAATGTATATTTAATAGTAATTTAGCTTGTAAGCATTATATAAAATGAAATAAATACAACATTTGAGGTAGACAAAGAATGCTTACTAAACCATTTTTGGTAATAGTAAAAAGCTAAAAACAAAAAGAAAACATAAGCCAAAAACCATAATAAACAGAAAAATCCCTAGCTCCTAAATAAAGAACTGGTTAAAAAAATTATGAAAGATTCATACAGAATAATATACAGCAAAGAGAAAGAATAACAACTATTTTCCTCACGTCTACATGCTGGAATGATTAAATATAACCTGAGTTCAGAGATGTCAAAATATGAAGAAAGTTCGTCTTAGAATTGATGAAATACAGTAATTTTAGATATAATTAAATCTTACGTTTAAAAAGTGTGTTCTAGAATAATATATCTCAATATAAATAAATATATATGTATAATCCTGATCCCACTTTTATATATATTTTTACATATATATCATATATAGCTTATACTTATTTACTATATTTTCTTTGATACATTATAAATATATGTACATATATTTTTATTCTTTATGTATAACTATTCCTTGATTCTCAAATCATATTAAATACCAATCTTTCTGAAAAATTCCATTAAATTAAATAGATACATCAATTGTAGGATACTCCAGATTTCAGAAATATGAAAATACAAAAAATTTTGCATTTTGAAATAGGGAAAATACAGTTATGCTCATATATGCAAGTAAAAGGATTTAAAAATATGCAGAAAAAATCTAACCTTAACACTCCAGGAACAACTTAGGAGAGAGACACTTATCTTTCACTTTCTATCTTTTAAAACCCTCAGTAATTATTCTTTCTTTTTTGAAAATGGGTTTAACTCTGTCACCCAGGCTGGAGTTCCGTAGCACAATGACAGCTCACTGCAATCTTGACTTACTGGTCTCAGGCAATCCTTCCACCTCAGTCTCATGAGTAACTGGGACCACAGGCATGTGCTACCATGCCCGGCTAACTTTTTAGATTTTTTGTAGAGACAAGGTCTCCCTGTGTTGCCCAGGCAGGTCTTGAACTCCTGGGCCCAAGCAGTGTAAGCAAATGTGCCCAACCTTCAGGGTTTTCTTGTTTTTTGTGTGTGTGTGTGTTTGTTTGGTTGTTTGTTTTTTCAAGACAGTTTTGCCCTGTCACCCAGGCTGGAGTGCAGTGGGCGATCTTGGCTCACTGCAACCTCTGCCTCCTGGGTTCAAGTGATTCCTGTGCCTCAGTCTCCCAAGTAGCTGGGATTACAGGCTTGTGCTGCCACACCTGGCTAATTTCTGTATTTTTTAGTAGAGACAGGGTTTTGCCATGTTGGCCAGGCTGATCTCGAACTCCTGCCCTCAAGTGATCCACCTTCCTTGGCCACCCAAAGTGCTGTATTACACGTATGAGCCACAGTGACCTGCAGTGATTTTTTAACAACACAATGAGATGTTCTTGAAATTAAAGTTTCTTTTAAAAAAATCACTACAGATATTTTTATTAATTACCATCACCACCGAAGTAATCTGTCCTTTGTCTTTTTTGATCCTTTGCTCTTCTGAGTTCTTGTTTTCCTATGTGTTCTATGGAATTTCCTTTACTGGATACTCTTCTGCTCAATTTTACATATGTTGCTGCAAGTGTTAGATCTCAGCAGTCTTCTTCCTGCACAGATACCTCCCTTGGGGACTTCACCTATTTTAATAGTGTCAACTCATAACTATTCAGAATCTGTTCACTAATCCTAACCTCTCATGTATGAATATTAGAGGTAAATTTCCAGTTGTCTGGTGAACATTTCTAGGCAGATATCACATACTAAACATACAAAGAACACATTCAAAACACAACCTATATTATCCATCCCCCATCTTACTTTGACCCTTGTTCTACATCTTGGTTAATACAATCATAAACTTTCATGCTACAAATTTCAGAATCACCTCTGACTATATTTTTTACAAGGCTCTCAATCAAGTCAGTCAACAGTCACCAAAAAGTGTTAAATTTACACCACCATTGTGGTATATTGTTTTCTAACATTTCCCCATCTTTCAAGGTCCCATACTTGGATTATAATAGCTTTCTACATTATGTTTCTAATCTCTTCATGTCAATTCATATCATAGTCATTTTCTTAAGACATATATCTGTTCATGTGACATTTCTAACTTAAAAGTTTGAAAAGTTTCCAAAAATTTGAAAAGTTTCCCATAATGATAGAGCTCAAACTCTTCAGTTTTTAATAATTTCACAAATATTTAATAAGTACTCATTGTGTGCCCACATATGTGACTAAACAGGAGAAAGACTTCAGAAAACCATTAGGATTGGAGGTAAAAGATAGGAAGAGCAGCACTTGGTGAGAACACAAAGTTACATGTTCTTAGCTCTCATTACATCCACCCACCTCTTCATTGCTCACCCCAGCCTGTCTATCCTTAGTCATCTCTGCCTTTGGCTAAGTCATTTGGCCTCATATATGGCCTCTCATTCACTATCCTATGTCCCTTACAGAAGAAGGCAACAGTGAAAGTAAAATAAAATGTAGCTTTGAAGGTGATAAAAATGGCCAAGACTTAACTCTATAAAGCATTTCACAGTTTACAAAGGCTATTTTCACATCCACTGCATTTAACATAATTATTCGCTTATTCACTGTTTACTGGACATTTTAAATGCAACATAGCATAGTTTACTAACTATAGGCAAAAGACAGTCAACATATTGAATGGGTAATGGTATCCGTTAGTTTCGTCAAGCCACCTCGAGGAAAATGTTAAGAAAATAAAATACTTCTTTTATGCAGTTTTTAGAAAATGAAGTGTTTGACATAACCAATTTTCTAAGTAACTCTACCTCTTCAAATATCAAATTTTTAAACATTAACAACTTTGGAAGAAAAGCATTCTAAAACATATCATGTACCTCCCTGCCTTCGTAAGTAGAGAGGCAAAGAATAATTTTAACTTTACCTGAAAACTCTAGTCCATCTATTAAGATACACTCTCATATGTCATTTGTGTCTCTCATTTTTAAGATTCCTCTTTTAATTAAGGCAATCTCTTTTCTACCAAAATACTTCCACAAATCTCTATAATCAGGTATTGTTTCTAAACTTTTATATACCAGACAATTAGAATGTTAAAAGTCAATAAATTTAGTGAGGGTGTAAAGAGAAAGGCAACTGCTTTAACAACAGTTTTGTGATAATTATTTGCAGGGCTCTGGATCTTTACGTTATTTTACCTCTGTATTAGGAGTTGTGCTCAAATGGTCGCTTGTGCAAAAATTTATTTCTGACCAAAAATGCGGAGGTCAGTTAAATCTAGAGTTTTAAAAGAATGATTTAAAAACAGGATGCAAGTCTTATCAGATGATAGTAAATCATATGCAAGGGTTTCCATAATGTAAAGAAATTAACATGTTGAAACTGAGAGTTGACTCCAAAGAATCCAAAGAATTTCTTTTTAAAATTTCTTCTTAGACCTATATGTCTAACTCATAACATTAGAAAATAAGAAAATATAATATCTGTCTCCTTTCTTTCTTTTAACTTATATCCAAAGGAATTCTCTAAGTACAAAATAATTTTTTTAAAAACGTGGATAAGAAAGCCTAGAAATGTAGTTTTTTCAGCTTTTAGAGTATCCTTAATGAATCTAACCCCTCATGGCAAGATGTGTTGCTTTTCATATCCATTCATTCAGGTTCTCAAAGGAATCAGTTTAGCTAACTACATATCAAAACCAGGACGATGTCTCTCAAGCTTTTCAGACATGTTGCATGGCTTTTTAAAAGAAAAATGACCTGAAAAACTGAAGTTTTCTGTAAAAACAGGCAAGGTATAAAAACAAACCAAATGGACTTTAAAAGTTTCCAATAATTGAATAATGGTTTCTTGAATCTTACATTACCTGCTTTTGTAGGTGCTAGATATATAGCCATAGAGAAGTTTGCTTGAATATTTTACTACTGAGAGAAATGCATATCATTGTAAAAAGAAAAAAAAAACCCAAAAGTTAGAAATAAAGCTTTAAATAAAATCTTATTTTTTTAGGCATGCCTTTGTAAAAAGGCTATACATGTGAAAAATATATTGGATGTAATCCATGCATAAATTATGCATATTCTTAATAACGACCAAGGTATATTAGCACTAACAAGTGTCAACTGCTACTCTAAATCTTTTACTTGTAAATAGTTAAATCTTTACAAAACCTTAAGAGGTAGGCACTAAAATCAAACCCAGTTTTACAGATGAGGAAACTCAGGTCAACAGAAGTTAAAGTTGTCCAATTTAACACAGCTAGAAAACGGATGCACTAGACAATGCTGTTAATAAAGGTGAAAGATATTTTGGCTACTTTAGTCTCCATCTGATCTGGATTCTAAAATATAAAATGACGAATCTATTGTAAAAATGCTGTGAGTATTTTTAAATCAATAACTTAATCAGCACATCCAACAAACTAGGAATAGAAAGAAACTTCCTCAATCTGATCAAGGGCGTCTATGAAAAAGTCATAGCCATCATGCTTATTGATGAGGCACTACATGCTTTCTCTCTAAGATCAGGAACAAGACTTTCACTGTCTGTATTAAACATTGTACTGGAGTTTCCAGACAAGAAAATTAGGCAAGAAAAAGAAATAGAAGACAGCCAGGTTTAAAAGGAATAATTAAATCAATCTTTATTTGCAGAGGACATGATTTATGCAGAGAAAATCCTAAGAAATCAACAAAAGACCTATTAGAGGTAATAAATGAGTTCAGTAAGGTAGCAGGATTCAAGACCAATATACAAAGTTAACAATATGTCAACACACTAGCAATAAACAGTTGGACAGTGAAGTTAAGAAAATAATTCCATTTACAATAGCATGTAAAAGAAAATACTTATGAATAACCAAAAGTGTTAGACTTACACTGTGAAAACTACAAAGCATTTCTTTATGACATTAAAGAAAACCTAAATAAATGAAAAGACATGTTACATTTCTGAATTAGAAGACTTAATATTGTTAAAATGTCAATAATCCCAAAATTGATTTACATATTCAACGCAATCCCTATCAAAACTCAAGCTGGCGATTTTGCAGCAACTGACAAGCTGATTAGAATTTCACATGGAAATGCAGGAATAACCAAAACCATCTTAAAAAGAGAGAAACAAAGTTAGAAAACTCACACTTTACAATTCAAAATGTATACACTCCAGGTGCGGAGTACTGTAATCTCAGCACTTTAGGAGGCCGACGCAAAAGGATTGCCTGGGCCCAGGAGTTTGAGACCAGCCTGAGCAATACGGCAAAACTCCATCTCTAGAAATATAAAAATTAGCCAGGCATGGTGGCGTGCGCCTGTAGTCCCAGATACTTAGGGGGCTGAGATTAGAGGATGGCTTGAGCCCTGGACATTGAGGCTGCAGTGAGCTTTTGTGTTCGTGTCACTTTATTTGAGCATGTTTGAGCATGCGTGACAAAGTGAGACCCTGTCTCCAAAAAAAAAAAAGGCAAATTACAAAGCTATAGTAATCAAGACAAGATGGTACTGGCATAGGGTAGACATATAGATTAATGGAACAGAGAGTCAGAAGTAAATCCTTGCCTTTGCAGTCAACTGTTTTTGGACAAGGGTACTAAGAACATTCAATCAGAAGAATCACCTTCAATAAATGTTGCTGGGTAAACTGGAGAGCTACATGAAAAAGAATGATATTGGATCACTTCCTCACACCATACATAAAAATTAACTCAAAATGATCATATACCTTTATGTAAGAGCTACAACTATAACATCTTAAAAGAAAACACAGGAAACAATCTCTGTGACCTTAGGTTAGGCAAAGAACTCTTTAGGTATGTCACCAAAAGCACAAGTAAAAGAAGAAAAAAATAATAAATTTGACTTCATCAAAACTAGGACATTTCGTACTGCATAGAACACCATCAAGAAGGTGAAAACCCATAGGATAAGAGAAAATATTTGTAAATCACATAGGATTAAAAAACTTGTAATCAAAATACATAAATAACACTTAAAACTCAGTAATAAAAAGACAATTCAATTAAAAATTGCACAAAGGATTTAAATAGACATTTCTCCAAAGAAGTTATAAATGTGGCCTATAAGGACAGAAAAAGATGTTAAATATCATTAGTCATTAGGGAAATGTGAATCAAAACAACGAGATACCATTTCACATTCACTAAAATGGCGACAATAAAAAAAGATAGATAAAAATGTTGGTAAGGACATGAAGAAACTGGAATGCCCATTATGTTTTTTGAAATGTAAAATGGTACAGCTGCTTTTAAAAATACTTTAGAAGTTCCTCAAAATGTTAAATATAAATTTACCCAACAATTCCAATAATGAGTATATACCTGAGAGAAGTGAAAACATATGTCCACAAAAAAACTTGTACATAATATTCATATCAGCATTACTCATAAAAGTAAAGGTGGAAACAACTCGAATGCCCATCAACTGATGGGTGAACAAAATGTGGTATATATCCATACAATGGAATATTATTTGTCAATAAAAAGTACTGAAGTTAGGAGATATACTACAACATGGATAAACCATGAAAACTTTAATGCTAAATGAAAAAAGTCAGTGACAAATCACCATATATGGTATGATTCCATTTGTATGAAATGTCAAGGATAGGCAAAACTTTAGGGAAAGACAACAGATTAGTGATTGCCTAGAGCTGGGAGTAGGGTCAGAGGAGAATGGGGAGTGATCACTAATGGATACAGAGTTTTTGTGACGGGTAATACAAGCCAAAATGATGAATTTTAATAGTTTTTTTTTTTCTTTTTTCACCCAGGCTGGAGTGTAGAGCCACAGTCATAGCTCACTGCAACTTTGAACTCCTGGGCTTAAGAGATTCTCCCGCCTGAGCCTCCCCAGTAGCTGGGAGTAGAGGTGTACACCACCATTCCAGCCTAATTTAAACTATATATATATATATATTTTTTTTTATGTTGCCCAGGCTGGTCTCAAACTCCTGGGCTTAAGCCATCCTCCAATCTCAGCCTCCTAAGTAGATGGGACTGCATGCATGAGCCACTGTGCCAGGCTAATAGTTATTCTTAATAACATAATTGACTTACAGCAATAAGCTAATATGGCAAATTAATTCATATTTGTAATTTGGGGGGCACATTTTGACACTAACTTATTTGGTAGAATGAGACTCTGTCATCCATCATTTTAGTCAGTTCATGGGAACATGATTACAGATATTCTCTCATTCTCTGTTAATATTTACTACTTACCAACTATGAGCTTGGCACTGTGATAAGTTCTGGGTAATGGTGGCGACCATTCTTTAAGGGCTATAGTGGAATACTGGTAATACCTACTCTAGTAAGACACAGGACAAGATGCTTTATGGTGCTTTGTAGTGCAGATTTCCAGGACTCAGCCAAAACTTTTACCCCATGTGCTGGAGCAGATCAAAAACTCTTTTTCACTGAAGATGATACTATAAGCATACATTTTTAATTCAGGCAGTTTAGGTCTTATTCTAGCTATCAGACCTTGAGCAAGTAACCTAAATCTCCTTGTCTCAGTTTCTACATTTGCAAAATGGGGATAATAATATGTACTATATTGGATTCTTACAAGAATTAAATGAGATAATCCATTGAAGGCATATAGATTATTGTCTGCCATGCAGTTAAATACTTAATAAACATAATAATGATAATTTTGATGATGGAGATGGCAGCTGTCTTGTTCTCTTATATACACAGGCAAATTTTTTCTCCATCCAGGTATGTGCTCTGGTTAGTCTAATTATTTTAAAAGGATATTAACTTTACCTATTTTTTCATCTGGCTTAAAAAAATATATAGGTATGTCCTGGACTGGCATCTACAAACAACTGCTTTCTATACAATATCTATGCAAGATCTAGCAGAGAAAAATGAGATGTGGGAAATTATTTAAGGTGATGTAATTCATTCATTATTCTAAATATTGTAAGTTCTATTGTTAGAGAAAACATAATTTCCAAAAGGCTATAAATTTGGGCTACACATGTCTTAGTCCTCTGAGGAAACTCCATTTTTTTTTTTTATTGAAAAAGGAAAGAAGAAAGAACTATAAGAGATCTATTACTGTGCTTGTTATTGAAATTCTATAAAAGCTATAGCTATCTAACTTTTCGTCATAATCTCTAAAGATGCTTCCACATTCTAGAGATGCCTTTTTTCAGCTTCTCTTATGGGTAATTGCTTTTAAAAAAACACTGAGAAAAATGGTATTATGGAAAATTATTTGTTAGTTATATCTTTATCAACCTTTTAATACTGTTTTTAAATAAACTTTTACTACCAGAAGGCTATAAACTCAAATTACTGTACATTATCTATATTAAACCAAAAGGTATAAAATAACAAGGAATGACTGATCTACCTTAATGTATAGAAAAGGAATGAACTTCCATTCTACCAGTTCATCATACACTTAATCAGTAGTTAAAACCATTGTTCCCTAGCCCACTCCTTCCAGGGAACCCCTGCAATCAGACTTACCTATGTGCTGCAGAAGGGCAAGAAAGCAAACAATACTATTAGTGGAGACCTACATGAATAAGGAATACTGGATATAAAAGTAGAATCAGCAGCTAAGAAGAGAAAGATCAATGTGAGCAATCAGTATAAATGGTATTCAATGAAGAGAGATACTGCAAGAAACAGGAATGGTGACTGAAATTTTCTAACTTTGTTTTCAGTTATATGGAGAGGAATTGTGTCAATAAAGCAGAACTATACTACTAAAGAAAAGGAGGAATCAATAATAAAACAACCAAAAAGAGTTGAACTAACCTACACGTCCACCCTGGTACATGAAATTCAGAATTCCTCCACATCCTGAGGTATAATTATTTTTAAGCTCAGTTAATCTGAGAAGCAACAGATGAATCCCATTGTTTGTTACTTAGAATTCTTAGATGCTTAGTTTTCACATGTTTGTTGTTGGCAGAAAGCAATAGTAAGATTCTGAGGTCTGGCAGGACATTTCAACGTCATGTTGGACTCAGGAATTCTTTGTTGAGGGACAATCCCCTGCACTACAGGACTCTGGCAGACATCTCTGGCTTCTGAGCAATGAATACCAGTAGTGACTTCTCAGTCACGGTGATAACCTATAAAGAACTCTATATTTCCAATATGTCTCTTGGTGGGGGGAAGGAACAGTACTAGCCACATTAAAAAAACATGTAGGTAAACGTAAATATTTAAATGTAGAAAATGGGGCCAGGTGCAGTGGTTCATGCCTGTAATCTCAGCAATTTGGGAGGTTGAGGCAGGCGGATGGCTTGAGCCTAGGAGTTTGAGACCAGCCTGGTCAACATGGCAAAACCCCACCTCTAAAAAAAATACAAAAGTTAGCTGGGCGTGGTGGCATGCACTTGCAGTCCCAGCTACTTGGGAGGCTGAGGTAGGAGGATCACCTGAGCCTGGGGAGGTCAAGGTTGCAGTGAGCCATGATCATGCCATTGCACTCCAGCCTAGGTGACAGTAAGACCCTGTCTCAAATGAATGAATAAATGTAAAAAATAAAAATGATAAGATCTCTGGAACAGAATACAGAAAGATATTTTATAATACTGCAGTAGAGATGTTCTTTGTTAACATGACACAAAGGCAAAAAACCATAGAAGACTGACACATTTGAGTAAATGAAAATATAAAATGTAAATGCAGCAAAAGATATGATAAATTAGGAAAAATATGTATAGCTCACAAAATAGTAACTATTCTTAGTATGCAAAATTCTCCTATAATCAATAAAAAACATAAACTATCCAAAAGAAAAATGAAAGAAAAAATAGAAAATTCGCTAAAGGAGGAAATTCCTAACAATAGGGAATATTTTAGTACTTCTTCTGTGCCAGGTACCCATACTAAATACCTTACATGCATTTTCTTGTTAATAGAGAATGCAGAATTCTCAACGATTCTGTAAAGTGGCTTCAAGAATCATATCAATTTTATAATGAGGTTAATTAGCTTGTCGAAATTACACAGCATGTCAGTGGCGAAGGCTGGGATGCAAGCTCTCTTAGCAGAGCTCAGAGTCTTATCACTGCTCACCAATAACAATTCCACTATTGCAGAAATATTTATTTTGTGAAAATAATAATAAAGCACACAGATGTCTGTATATGATAATCAATACACCCATTATTTGTAACAAAGAAAAAAGAAAAATGATCTAAATGATTATCTATAGGAAATAAATCTATATGTAGTAATCTGACAAGATGTTACCAGTATATTGATAGATATTTAAAAAGCAACTTGTACAGAACGATTAGAGTATGATCCCACTTTCATAAATTTAAAAAATTAAATATACATAATTGTATATATGTATGTATATGCAGATACTTTATACATATGCATATACATATATACATACACACAAACTTCAGTAGTTATCTATAAGGAGTACTGTTACAGGTAGGAATTTTTATTCTCTGTATACTAGTAGACTTTTTTTTTCAATGTACACATTATTTTCGTTATTAGAATCAGCAATAAAGACATTTCCAATTTAAGAAAAAAGAAGGGGAAACTACATTAATCAAACCTATCTTATAGCTCATAGCTTTTATATATTGGTAAAATATCCTGTGCTGTTACATAAGTATTCCTTTCAGTTTATACTGGTAATTCCTAATATGTTATTTCTAATGACAGCACACAGTAAGTAACTTATTCTCACGTCCAGACCTTTAACCAACAATTTTTCAGCATGCTGAGAGGTTATGTGGAATTCTCAGACAGTATTTAAACCAGCCACACCCCTTACTGGTTTTCTCTAACAATTAAATTAAACCATTTTGGTATAGAGTCCTTAAGAGAAAGTAGTTCAGCAATATGGATGAAAAATTTTAAAATTGGAATACTCTGGTTTTTTTTTGAGATGGACTCTCACTCTATTGCCCAGGCTGGAGTGCAATGGTGCAATCTCAGCTCACTGCAACCTCTGCCTCCCAGGATCAAGTGATTCTCCTGCCTCAGCCTCCCGAGAAGCGGAGATTACAGGCGCACACCACCACACCTGGCTAATTTCTGTATTTTTAGTAGAGACGGACTTTCACCACGTTGGCCAGGCTGGTCTCCAACTCCTGACCTTGTGATCCCGCCTGCCTTGGCCTCCCAAAAGTGCTGGGATTACAGGTGTGAGCCACCATGCCTGGCCATGGGAATACTCTTTACCTAGCAACTGTATTTTTTATTCAAAAGAAATTGTGTCCAAAGATTTATTTCATCAATGTAATCAGAGCACTAGTATATAAAATATTTGAACCAATAATGGGAAGCTGTTTAAATAATCATGGAAAAACTACACAATATTATACAGCCAAATATACAATATTATACAGCCAATAACAGTGCAAAAGAAAATTAAATGACCTAGAAAGATGTTCACAATATACTGTTGATGAAAAGAATCAGGTAACAATATAACATAAACTAATTAAAAAAATAAAAATCCCTCAAAAATCTGGAAGAATGAGGGCTAAAATGATTATCTCTGCATGTGATTTTTATTTCCTCTTTTTCTTCTATGTTTTCTAAAAAAGATATTACTTTGTAACAGAAAATTAGTTTAAAAATATAAAAGAATCAAACTTGTGTGTTATGTTAACCACTTAGTAGACATAATTCAGATTATTTACAAAGAGGAAAAAAAATGGAGTTGAAAGGCAAAGTGATGGGCACATCATTTTCCAGTTTCAGCATTCTGTCCTACTGATTAACTTTTCCTAACAACTGCTTTCATACTGAAAATTAGCTGTTTATAACAGACTAAGGTATATTGAGACTACTCACATTCCTCTGGAACAGAAGAAGCAATGAAATCATTTCTCTACACATGTTATTTTAAGCTCCTCTATCTTCTAGTCCTCCAACAAAACTGGGGATGTCAACAACATTTTAGTGAGCAAGATTGGAATCTGTTAACAGTAAATGCCAAAAATATCAATAGTATAAGTTAGAGAGTAAGTACTGTTAAAAAAAAAGTTTTTGACAAGGTAATATTCCCAGGAGATGAAACACAATGCACCTAATGTTACACAAAAGTTTAACTTTATGAACAAAAAGGAAGCATTGATCACTAGATCATAGAATGAATTATTACAAAGGGTAAGAAGAAACTGCAGGTCATACCACCTATTTATAACCCCAACTGCACCTCAAGTATTAGGAGTTTGTGTGATAAAAGCAGCAAGCTTTTAGCCATAGCTTGTCAGTGAATAGCTGTAGAAGCCACATAATAATGAGGGGCATGGCTGACTCACTGTACGCTAAAGTAGAAGTAATACTGGTGATTGCTATCTGTGTAACTGGTCTAATGAGATATTTATTTATTCATTGATTTATTTATTTAAGAGACAGGGTCTTACTTTGTTGCCCAAGTTGGTCTCGAACTCAAACTCAAACCCCTGGCTTCACGCAATCCTCCTTCTTCAGCTTTTCAAAGTACTGGGATTACGGGCATGAGCCACCATGCCTGGCCAATGAGATTTTTAGATGATCAAACAGGTGCCTGAGTTTTAGAAGTAGTAAGTGCCAGAACAGGACTCCTGGGATTTCTGAGTCCAGATTGAATTTTTTTTTTTCCAATTTCAGCACCATAGTAGACCAAATGAGATGGACAAGCCATTAACAGAATATGGTGGGAATTAGATTTAAATAAAATGTAAGTATAATTGGGTAACAAATGAAATAATGATTCAACAATAAGCATTTAAAACTAAATTTGTTGGGAGAAGAAATAGCACCTAAGACTATTTGTATTAAGTACTGTAAACCATGAACTGCAAAGAGGCTCATGTGATAATTCCTCATGCTTATGTTACTTTGCAAAGTGTTAAAAATTCATAAAGACGTTCGTTTTGCACCAAGTATAAAGTATTTGGTACAAAGGTTTGTTAGGCCATTTTAGGAAAACATTTCAAGAAACCTTATAAATGGTATAATTTTATAGAGAAGAACAGAACATTTTAGTTTAGGATATTTATGACAGAGCAGAACTACTAATAAAATGTACATATGCTGAGGAGATTCCTTGGGAAATAGGATATTAGTAAATACCCTAAATGTTCTCAAAAATGCATGTGTGCGTACACAAACACATATTCACATAATTTCTTATATAGGCTAGGAGAACTATAAATTCTTTGAAAAATTTCAAACCTAAGAAAAGTTCCAATAACAGTATTCCCACAGAACATTTACTTTTCATCTCGTTTAAGCAATTTCTAGGCTCTAGTCACATTTGCCTTCCCTTATTTCTGGGTATGTGTTTGTGTATATGTACAGTTGTTGCTCCTTTTCCATGGTTTCAGTTTCCTGCAGTCAACTGCAGCCCAAAAATAGGTGAGTATGGTTCAATAAAATATTTTGAGAGAGATAGACCACATTCATATAACTTTTATAACAGCATATTGTTATAATTGTTCTATTTTACTGTTAATTATTTGTGTTAATCTGTGTCTCTAATTTATAAATTAAACTTATAGGTATGTACATATAGAAAAAAACATAGTATATATAGGGTTTGGAACTATCAGTGGTTTCAGGCATCCACTGGGACCTTGGAACTTACCCCCACAGACAAAGTGGGACCTCTGTGTATCTGTATATATACTATAATTTTTGCTGAACCATTTGATAATTAGTTGCACACACTGTGAAAATATATACTTCAGTAGATATCTCCTAAGAACAATGATATTCTCACATATAATAGTGATAATATAATGATAAATTCAGGACATTTAACATTTATGTTTAATGTGATATAATCTATAATCTATATTTGCATTTTTCCATTTGCCTGCAAAGTGTCCTAGACAACCTTTTGTTGTTTTTGCTTTTTTTTCCTTTCAATTTAGGATAATTCACTCTCATTCTCCTTTCACCTACAGCAATTCTACAATCTTGTTTGGTTTTTCACATCACTAACATTTTGGAAGAGTGCAGGTCAGTAGTTTTGCAGACTGTTCCTCAGTTTGAATGTGTCTGGTAAATTCCCCGTGGTTAGACTTAGGCTAAACATTATTGGCAGAAACAAAAGTGGCATCTTTTCCTTCTGGAGTTTACCACAGTTGAAGGCACAGGATATCAGGCTGTGCTTTATTGGTGCTGTGAAATTTAGTCTTCTGGCTAAGACAATATCTGCCAGATTTCTCTATTTTAAAGGTACCTTTTCCTTTTTAATTAGTAAGTATATTCCAGAGGGAATCCCCTTTAAACTAGCTTCTGTGTCCTTTGGACATGTCTCCTCAGTTTTTGAGCATGTCCTTACATTAAAAAATAATGAACTAATTGAAAACAGAAGCCAAAATATCCCCCGATTAAATTTGGAGAACAGAAGAAACTTCAAAAAAATTTTAAAATAAAAACCTCATAGAAATAAGAAACTGTTGTATCCAGGAAACAAGAATCAGAAGCTATAGAAATGAAACTCAGAGAACAAGAAAGATTCATGAGAAATGATAAAAATAGCATAAATTTATAAAAAGAGGGTTAGAAGACAAAGCTAAAGAAGTCTCTTACAGGGTAGAACTAAAACAATAGAGAAATCAACCATAGGAAAAAAAAGAAAAAGGTAAGACAATTAGAGGACCAGCCTGAGAGGACCAGCATCCAAATAAGATGAGAGCTAAAAAACGATCCTGCAGCAACAACACCACAAACAAAATGAGAAGACAAGAAAGTATATTAAAAAAAAACAAACAGGAACAATTCCCAAATGGAAGAAGTTTACTTAATTTCCAGGCCAAAGGATGAAAATAGAAAAAAGAAGGTGTATCATTAAGAAAGAATACAACACTAAGGAAAAAGATCTTAAAAGCTTCTAGAGATTCAACAGGGGAGCTCTGATGCACAAGATGAGAATCTGAAAGGTATCAGTCTTAATAACAATACTCTAAAGGAAAAGACAAGTCTTAAACATTTGGAAATACAGATAAGAACCTGAAAAGAGAATTAATGCAAACTAACTTTCATTCCTGACCACATTTCCTGTCAACAATCACAAAACAGTTTTAGAAATACTACCAGAAAAGATTTAGACAAATCAAGAAACAATAAGACAAACCTAGACTGAATTCTGGCTCAACGTCTCACTAGCTCTAATCAATCACTTGCATCTTTGAATCTCAGTGTCACCATTTTTAATAAGAGGCTAATAATATCTAACTCATAGAATTATTCCAAGAATTAAATGTGATAACTTTTGTGGAGCAACAAAAAGGCACTTAGTAAATTGTAACTGTTACTATTATCTTCAGAATTATTTTAATTGATATGCTATTCATAGTAAATGACAACAAAGTAAATATTTACACCAATGGTGAAAATATATTAACTTTAGTACTTTAAGAAATAGAATATGATGTGGTCATCGGGGGATAATTCCAAAACCATGAAGAAACATGGAAAAGTACTTAGAACATGCCAAGAAAGTGGCAGATTATAAAATATAGATACAAAATAATTTTAACCATATAACTTATTGAGGAATTTATTAAATGGTATGTTATCTATTTTTAATAATGTTCAGATCATTGTAGAAAATACAAATAAGCAAAATGAGAATGTTTTGAAAATCATCCCAAGCCACTTTCCCAAGAGGTGTTACTTGTAACCATTTAAACAAAAACCTACAGCTTTATTGAGTTATAACTGATATACACAAAACTGCATATTTTAAATGTACACAATTTGATGAGCTTGGATACTTTTAACTCTTTAATTATGGTTATATATAATCGTGGCTTTTAAAAAATTTTTGATCATTTGTATATTTTCATTTGCAATCATCTCTTTTTCTAGTAGACAAATTATCATGCACTTTCTTCCATGGCATACCTATCCTTCAAAGACATCTTTTAAAATTGCTATATATCATGGCTATTTAATAGTCAAATCAACCCATTCTCTTATGATGAAATAATTATGTTTCCAAAATTCTAATTTTCTATAAAGTGATGCAATGACCATATTGTTGCTAAAGCTTTGCACATTATCTATTTTTATAAATTCTTAGATTTGAAATCTATGTCACAAATATAATTTTTTTTCTCTTTGAGACAGAGTCTCACTCTGTTGCCCAGGCTAGGGTACAGCGGTGCAAACATGGCTCACGGCAGCCTCCACCTCCTGGCCTCAAGTGATCCTCCCACCTCAGCCTCCCAAAGTGCTGAGATTATAGGCATGAGTCACCACACCTGGCCAAATATAAGTATGTTAACAATTTGGACATACATTGCCAAACTGCTTTGCATAGGAGCTATTGCAATTAGCATTCTTGTTAGTAAAAGATACGAAGGCATTTGAATTCTTGAATGTTCAATAATGGGTTTCAAATTCTGTTTCCCTCCCTCCATCCCTTCCATCCTTTTTTCCCTAATTTGATAAGAAAATGGTATTGTTTTGGTATTACCAGTGACTTTGCAAATGTAATGCCCATGCAACATTTCTTCTTTAGGAAGTGTCTACATATGTTCTTTGTCCAGCTATTTTTTGAAGCACATGTTCATAATCGGTTGGGATTTTAGCCTTACTTTTGGCATTTACAAGCTGTATGATAGACTTCTATGTCCTGTAACATGAGTACCACTTAAAACAATTAAAATACCAGATAGAGTAAAACAAACAAACAAACAAAAACTCTTAAATGTACCCAGGAGCTAGCAAAAAAAGAAATGCTGAGGACAAGATTAAGTTAAGACTGGTACTGAAAGTGGTACGGCAAGCACTTAAATCGTTTTTCACCTTGAGAATATTTGCTGAATCAGCTGAACTTGAGCGTTAGCTTTTTTTTTTTTTTCTTTTTTTCTTGCTTCAGAAGGTGGGACAACCCAATAGCCGACCATCCATAATGCTGGGACCACAAAAGGCTACTTAGTGTAAGCATAAACTAGACACACCACATTGATCATAATAACAGTAGCAAACATTTATAGAGCTTACCGCATTTTCAGTGTGTCAAAGATATCAACTCGTTTAATCTTCACAAAAATTATAAAAAAGGTACCATTATAATCCTCACCTTAGAGGTCAAGACAGTGAAGCACAGAAAGGTTAAATAATTTGCTCATGGTAAATTAGTATTAATTAGTATTAGATTAGTATTAATTTGTATTAGATCCAAAATGCAAATTCTGATACTCTGTGTCTAGAGACTATGCTTTTAAAGCACTATGACACAGTACTCACTTTCCCACCCACCCCCAACCCTTTTCCCTAAGGAAATGCAAGGAAAATTGGCTGTACAGAAGTTTGGAACTCGGGGGAGAGGAAATATAAATCTTCTCTGAGAATTTGTAACCACAAGAGAGCCTTCATTGAAGTCTGTAGTTTGAATCCTCACTACTCATTTGATCCACAAAACCTCAAGCTAACAATTTAAAGTGATCCTACATTAATAGTATTGTACTAATACTGTTCTCAGGCATCTAACAGAAACAGAAACATTCTCTTCACATGTAAAGTTAAAAAAATGAGTAGTTCATGATATAAAAAATCATTTAAATTCATTTAAAAATAAGACATTATATGTAAAACATACAAACAAAAATATGTGACAGAATCAATCCTAAGAAGATGGAGGTATTAGAATTACTACACACTATACATACAATATAACTGTTTCATATATTTCAAGAAATAATGCAAAAATAACCATGAACTCAAAAAAAAATTTCTAAAAATGCAAAGCATGATAATTAAAGCAAAAAAGTCAATGAATAAGTTAAACAGCAACTTCAATATAGCTGAAAAGAGAATTAGAAAACTGGAAAGGAGAAATAAAAAATTATACCAAATATAGTCTCGAGAGGAAGAGGCATGAAAAATAACATGACAAGATGTAAAATATATCTAAGTTGGATTGCTAGCAAAGAGAGAAGGTAGAGGCTATACTGGGAGAAATAATTTTCATATCTGATAAAAAAAAACTCAATTCAAACAGTCAAGAAACCCAATGAATCCCAACTGGGATAAATAAAAAAGAATACACACTGTACACACCATAGTGAAACTGCAGAAAATCAAGGAAAAGTAAAAGATCTCAAAGGGAAACATTCAAAGGACTGAAAGACTAATGAGTTTTCAAAAGAAATAGTAGAAGCCCGAAGACACTAAAATAATATCTTCAACACACTAAAAGAAGTTCATTCACAGCCTAAAATTCTATGCCCCCTCAAAATAACTTCTAAGAATCACAGTGAAATAAGGTCATTTGGAGATAAATAAGGATTGAGAGGTTTTACTACTCTAATATCCTCACAGGATATTATTGGATGAATACCACTTAAAACAACTAAAATACCAGATAGAGTAAGTAGGATAAGTTGATATCCTTCCAGGCAAAAGGACAATAATAACAGATAGAAGATCTGTAATGCCAAAGGAATGACAAGAAAAAATATGATAAATATGTGAGTAAACCTAAGGAATATAAATGTTATAAAACAATAATTATTTATTACATTGTTAAAATGACAAAATTAAATGAATAAAACAGAAATCTATAAATTGGAAAAATGTAATAAAAATATTCTGCATTAAGGCCTTTGTTTTGTTTGGTTAGATAGTAAAAGTATGCACATAAATTGAAAAGTACACATGATACCATTTCTTGAGTAACCACCTACAAATAGACTGCATGAATTCCAAACTAGTAGAAGGGAAAACAAATGATAATAAGAATACTGAGTAATACAAAAAGAAGGCAATAAAGGAGAAAAAAGTAAAAAATAATAGGAAAATAAAAACACAAAGTGGTGGAAATAAATTCAAATATAACAGCAAATACAATAAATATAAATGTATCATGATACAGCAAAAAATAAAAATTGTCAGGTTGGATTTTTAAAATTAGTTATATGTTTTTCTTTTCAAGAGACAATTACATAACATAAAGTATAAAGTAGAAAAAGATTTTCATGAAAACTATTAGCAAAAACTATATTATTATTAGTCTAAGGCAAATATACTCTAAGGAAAAAGGCATTCCTAGATATGAGTATCATTAAAAATGATAAAAGATTTCATTTATTTACTTGTATGTAAATAATAACATCACTTCAAAATACCTAAAGCAAAATTTAACAAGAACTACACGAACACCCCAAAATGGAAGATATTTAATGTAGGTCAGTAATTGAAAGGTAAAGAAGACAATTCCATAATACAGAAGATCTGAACAACAATTATCCTTATATAAAGGACATATATATAAAACTGCATCAACAGTTGTAGAATACACATTATTTTTAAGTATGTTTCCAAAATGAAACATATGCAGAACTTGATTATGTACTAGGACAAAAAAGTAAAACTGAACAATTTTCAAATAATTGACATATAAACCATATTTTCTAATAATAATGAGATTAAGTTAGAATTTATTAACAAAAATATAACTAGAAATAATCCAATTGTTTTCAAAATAAGCAGCACACTTCTAAAAATCTCAAAATGAAAACAAAAATCTAAATACAATTTTGTTGTATATAGCAAAAGCAATATTTGATGAGAATTTTAATTTTATAGCCGTAAATGCTTCATATGGAAAAGAAGGATGAAAGTTACTAATCGGAGAATTGAATAGAATAGGTTTAATAAGAAAAACAAAATGAAACAAAGGAAAAGACATAATCAAAATAAGATAAATTAATGATATAGAAAATAAAAATAAAATGAAACTGACAAGAAAGCTAAAAGCGGGCCCTGAAAAAAGTCTTAAAAAACTGACAAACTTTTGGAGAGATTTACAAAAAGCAGTAAGGAACAAGGAAGAAACGAGGCAGGCACATACAAATTGCTAACATGAGAAACTATATAACTTGCCGGGCGTGGTGGCTCATGCCTGCAATCCCAGCACACTGGGAGGCCGATCCGGGCAGATTACTTGAGGTCAGGAGTTCGAGACCAACCTGACCAACATGGTGAAACCCCATCTCTACTAAAAATATAAAAATTAGCCCAGTGTGATGGCACATGCCTGTAGTCCCAGCTACTTGAGAAGCTAAGGCTGGAGGATCACTTGAACCTGGGAGGCAGAGGTTGCAGTGAACTGAGATTGAGCTTTTCAACTCTAGCCTGTGCAGCAGAGTGAGGTTCTGTCTCAAAAAAAAAAAAAAAGAAAGAAACGTTATAATCTAACTATATAACTATAGATGCTGCAGACATTAAACAGATAATAAGAAAATATTAAAAGAAATTCATGCCAATATATTTGAAAACATAGATGAAATGGACAAATTCCTAGAAAAATACAGCTTACTGAAACTGACTCAAGACGAAATAGAAAAATCTGAATAATACTATGAAAGAAATGGGCTCAACAGTAAATATCTACCCACAGATAAAATTCCAAGACTAGCTGTACAATTTAGGATGTTATTTAACCTCTATAATTCTTCATTTATTTATTCAAAAAATGGGATATTATAATATCCTATTATATTAACTCACAAGCATTAAATATCTCATGAGCTTATTATTTGAGTATTACTTTTTAATGTAATACTCAAATGAAGGCAATTTGTAAACATGAAAGTGTCACAAAAATTGAAAATATTATTCACCCAATTTTAGGTTTAAATCAGAAAGCCCATAACTCTAAACAAAGACATATTCCAAAGAGTCCACCCAAAAGTCAAGTTTTCATGATAAGGCAAATCTAATTTGCTACTGGCATGCACTAACTAAGGCCACATTCTTTGGGAAGAAAATTAACAATACAACTGCAAATCGAGAATGCTGAAAATTTTTAAACACTCATTTTTTAAACTGTTAAGATTGGGTGTTAAAACATTACTGACAAAGTTGTAAAACTTAACTTAAATGACAATCATTTTTTGTTTAATGCAATAGGTTAAAGATCCAAAGGAACAAAAATAATATTGCAGGTTGGGACAAATAAGCATAATAAAGACACTGGTTTAGTGTTTCATGGGTAACAAATTCAGGCCTTTTCCTCTGCAAACACCATCTTCTATGAATTTGTGCTTCACAAAATACCTGTAAATCTATTCATGTTCATTTTTTTCATGTATGCATCTCATGAACAAAGATGTTAGTACCTACCAAGTATCAGGTACAAGATTAGCTGCTAAGGATACAAGATGAAAAACAGTCAGCTTACAACAAACAGTCTTATGGTCCAGTGAGGGGGAGAGAATAAACAGATGTACCATGACAGAAGCAAGCACAGGGCACTACAGATGTTCCCAGGGGAGATATACCTAATCTTAAATGAAGAGATCAAAGATTATCTCCTGAAAGGATGACTTCTAAGCTGTTTATTGAAGAATAAATTAGAGTTAGTCAGGGGAAAGGGAAGAGTAGGGTACTCAGGTTAATGCTGCAAAATCTCATATTCTCACAGCCTCATCATGCACACATATGCCATACTGCCTTGGTCAAGCATGGTACTTGCTATAAAAATTATTTCCTAAGGAGTAGGAATTTAAATTTACTACTGAATAATGCCCAAAACAAGTTTTAATAATATGAATTATATAATATTTTTAAATTATTCTCCTAGCTCTGGCACAGATACCTTTATTTAATTTGAAATAAAACTTCAGAGATTCATTTTTGACTAAAATATAATGAAATTTTTTAAGAAAATCACATCCATCTTATTTGAGTTTTCTATGCACTGTATGGCTAGAAACTGTATGAAAAAATCCAGGGGATCTATGATGGGATGGAAAAGGTGGGTATATCTCTGGTCTAGAACAAAGAAAGGGCACTTCACTGAATTCTGAGGCTGTTTCAAAACCATATGCACCAATTTGCCTACTTAGCATGTAGCATGTATCGCAACATCAACAGGTTGCGTTGCTTCCTGGAAAGGTTCCCTAAACTAAGGCCACAGTCCTGGCTCTCCCTCTATCAGTGATGAGCTTCGGAGAGAGTATCTCATACCACTACTTTTATCTTAACTTTTCTATGGCCCCAGAAATATTTACCCAGGAGACACTACAGTAAATATTAAAATATTTTCAAAGCTGCAATGTTTTCAATCAGATTAATTTTGATCTGTTAGAAATGCAACCCCAGTGTTAGAGTATATGCTACCCTGAAGAGAAAAAAAGACTTTGATGGAAAGCAAAATAACAGAAGGATCAGTCAGTAAGTAGCAACGTAGTTGGAGCCGGCTTTGGCTTGGGAACAATAAAGAAAAACATAATACAAGCAGATAAAGCACATTTAATTTTCCTCATGTAGCTTACATGGATATCTGAGGAATTTATTCTAAGACAACAGTCTGATTTCTTACAGAATAAGTTATATATATTTTTACAGACAATTCAATATGTTCTGATTAAATTTTTTCATCTATCTTTTCTTGGTGAGTTAGAATGTTCTGGTCTTGTACAACATATAATAAATTATGCTTTTCATAGTTTCTTTTGTATACTTTTTTGGTCATAACAAAGAGCTAAAAAAAAATTCCCCACAAAACATTTGATCTGCCAGTGAACAGACTGTGAGCTCCTGGTAGTGCCAATGTTCTGCTTTCCTAAGTCTTCTACTGCTCCTACAAATGCCCTATACAAACGATTTGGATCTCTCTCTCTCTCTCTCTTCCTCTCTCTCTCTCTCTCTCTCTCTCTCTCTCTGTGTGTGTGTGTGTGTGTGTGTGTGTGTGATCTCTCTCTCTCTCTGTGTGTGTGTGTGTGTGTGTAAAATAAGCAATTTAATTCTGACTCCTCATATAAATGTGAAATCAAAATCAAAATAACTGAGAAATATTACAGAAAAGCAACCAATACTGATACCACCGAAAGAACACAGTATTTGGAATTAGGGAGATATGGCCTAGAATTCTGCAGTCATCACTATGTCACCACTGTGTAACCTCACTATGTCACAGCTGTGTAACAGACAAGCTACTTCATTTCTTCCAGCTTTAGCTTTCTTCTCTGTGACATAGAGAATAACACACACTCCTATGAACTGTGAGGATTAAATGAGGTAACAAATGTAAAGCACCTGACAGAAACAGTGGACACTACCATCTTCTTAAACTAGGTTTTTTGTTTTTTGATTTTTTTGAAACCGCCTTTGTAAAATCTTAACTTAGGTTTTGATAAAATAATTGGAAAGCCGTTTTCAGGTCTGTGATTCTGAGATTTGGACAAAGTAGGTGAAAATAACATCCTGTTTAACTTCTTACAGTTCAACCTTGTTCTTACAGTATTTTGAGGCAGGAGAAGGGCAGATAGGATGTATTAGAACAGAAAACTTGATATCAGGAACAGATATGAGTTTTAAAAAATTTCCTTTCAATTTAATTCAGGCCTTCCTGGAGCATTTTAAATCGAAAGAGTCAGTGATGGGTTAAGATAGAAACAAGAAAAGGATTAATTTGAGACTTATGGCTAAATATGCAAGTATGACATTCAAATTGTTCAGCCTATGTGTGTGTATGTATATACATGCATGCACACATACACACATATCTCACACAGACATAGATATTAAACAATTCTATGCACAAGAATATCAGGGCCAACCAAAAGACAAAACAAACAGAAGTGTAATATATTGTGTTTTTAATTTTAGCACCTATTTTTACTGAGAGAACACAATTTTTCTAGTTTAATATTCTGCTTATATTACCAGCTGAAGCTAGCAGACAGCATAGTGCAATAAGATGAAGTTAAAAAAACACTGTCCTAACTAGCTAGCATGTTTGTAAAGATGATAAAATAGTACTGAACGTCCTCTACTTGAAATCCCTATAGTTTCTGAAAGAATGTTCATTGAAGTCCATTTATATATATGTGACAACTAAAGTGACAACACATAAGCAGTAGTTTTATCACTATTTTAATTAAAAATATTTTTGATTTCCATTGGAACCATATGATTTTTTTTTCTTTTAGGGACAGGGTCTTTCTCTATCATCTAAGCTGAAGTGCAGTGGAGTGAGCATAGCTCACTGCAACCTCAAACTCCTGGGCTCAAGCAATCCTCCTGCCTCAGCCACCTGAATGACTAGTAATATAGGCATGTGCCACCATGCCTGGCTAATTTTTTTAAATTCTAATTTTAACGTTTAGAAATGGGGTCTCACTGTGTTGCCCAGGCTGGTCTTGAACTCCTGGCCTCAAGTGATCCTCCTGCCTCAGCCTCCCAAAGCACTAGAAGTCACTGTGCCTGACCTAATTTTTCTTATTACCAGTTTTAGGTTTCTTTCCGTTTTTGCAAATATTAAGAGAGAATGGGGCCACAAAAAAATTTACAATATACCTTAAAAGTAAGGTCAAAGACATTATGGATGAATAACCAACAGGTAAGCTAAAACTAAAAATGATAATTAGTGACCTACCCATGCAGTGGAATATAGATTTGTTATTTGTAAACATTCTGAAATGAGGAGTGTGCAAGTTGTACTTTACAAAGATGCCAATCAATCAATCAATCAATCAATCCTATCCCACATTCTCTTCTAACAATGTGACTGACACTCCTCCCATTGAGAGGGGAAGTAAGTTGTATGCTCCCATCCCTTGAATGTGGGCAAAGGCTTAAGACTGCTCCAACCAAAAGAGTATGGCAAACAATAGGTCATACAAAGGATAAAGCTTCCACCTAGTTTCCTTCCTCTTGACATATTTGTTCTTGGGATCTGATCACCATGTTATGAAGAAGCATAAACTAGCCTATGAGGAGAGAACATATGGCACAGGCCCTTTTGGAGAACTGAGCTCCCTAGCCAAACACAGTCAATTGCTAGACACACGAATAAACAATGTTGCAGATTATTTCAGCCCTCACAGCCTCCTAGTCCTCAAGTTGAGACCCCGAACAGCATGAAAGTGAGACAAAGCCATCCCTACTGTGCCCTGTCTGAATTTCTGACCCACAATCTGTGAGTATATAAAATGGCTATTCTATTCCACTAATTTGGGGTAATTTGTTATGCAGCAGGAGATAACTGAAAGAAGGTTCAGTTATTATTTGCCATTATTTGAAGGCTATAAATAGAGGTTTGAACTTATAGGAAAATCTGAGTATACCTGATAACTGAGTTAGAGAAGCCAAGGGGAAGTTAATGTGATCTAATTTTCATAGTCAATGCATGGCTCTTTGCTTTCTCTTGCTTCAAGAACATTCTCCTCCAACTCTTCCTTCAGCCTGGGGCACATTCTTCCTCCCCAGTGACCCAACACTCACTCTGACCTTCACTTGGCAAGTTCCTACTCTCCTTAAAGATCTTAGGTCTCACTCGAAATGTCACATTCTCCTAGAAGATTCAACTGACTTCTAAGGGATGGATTTGGGTGCCCTGTCTATCAGATTTTGGTAAACTCAACACATTATATTCCAGTTGTTTAATTATCTGTCTACCCCACTAGGCTGTAAGCTCCTTGAGGGCATGACTTTTATTTACCATTTCATACCTAGCATCAAATAATGCTAGATGATCAATAAATATCAATTGGATTAATATTTTTATGTGAATGAATGATCATTTCCACCTATACCCTGCTGAAAGATACATGGACTGAAAAAGTAGACCTTGGAAAACTGGAGGAAGTAGATATTCAGAAATTCAGTAGGTTAGAACTGAACAAAGATAAACTGGAGTTAGCATCCTTCCAAATGAGTCCTTCCTAATTAAGAACACCCAAAATATACCAAAGGCATCAGATCTGATGAATTTCAGTGGTAAAACATTCTGATTTGGGTTCTAGAAAATTTTACATATCAGACAGTTCTCCCTCAGCTCATTTTACCTTTCTTTCCTGACACTTTCTCTCACTTTTCTTTTATTACCCAAGTCTGTAGAACCTCATGATAACCTCCAAAATGCCCAAAATTGCCGAACTTTTCCAGAGCTGCCATTAAAAGTGTCCCATATTTAAAAGATCATGCACTTGGTACATTTCAAGGCAGTACTAATTGCTTTTTTCCCTTTTCATTAATTAAGTCTGAAACTATAAGAAATAACAATATTATTATAAAAATATATAAACACATTCATGAATTGACAAAAGTATTCTATAAGATGTATCACAATTTTCTTTTTGGAGATAAAATAATGCACATCTAACTAAAGATTCCAAGATTACTTTCTCTAATTCTTGTAAGTTTTTACTTCCATTCCTCAATACTAATTATAAGTAAGTTCATTACTCATTAGCAGCTTTTGACTCAGCTAAAAACTCACGCCTTGTAACTTTTATTTCTTTGTCTTGGAAATACCAGATAGTTTTCCTCCTGTCCACTGGCCACTTCTCATTAGTCTTTTTTGTATTATCTTTGTCTTATTATTTTTACTTTTTGAGATGAGGTCTTGCTCTGTCACCCAGGCTGGAGTACAGTGGCACGATCATGGCTCACTGCAGCCTCGACCTCTCGGGCTCAAACGATCCAACTGCATCAGCCTCTCAAGTACCTAGGACCACAGGTGTGTCCCACCACGCCTGGCTAATTTTTATTTTATTTTATTGTAGAGACAGGGTCTCGCCATGTTGCCTATGCCTGTCTTGAACTCCTGGGTTCAAGCAATCCTCCAGTCTCCACCTCCCAAAGCACTGGGACTACAGGCATGAGCCACCACACCTGGCCTCTCTTCGTCTTCTTCCTAACCCCTACATCAATGGTTCTCAAGCTTGGCTATACATAGAATCACCACGGGACTTCTGAAACAGTAGAATACCTTAGCACACACCTGAGACCAACTGATTTGCAATTAGTGGAGTGAGAAACCTAGGTATGATATTTATGAAAAGCTCACCAGGTGATTCAGATGCAATGTGAAAGTTAATAACCTCTTCCTTAAATACTGTCCACCGGGCTCCGTCATACACCCTCTTCTCTCAGTACACATTCCCCCTGTGCAAACTCATGTACTCTCATGGCTTTCAGCATACAGCATGGATCTATATGCTGAAAAATCTATATATTTAGCTAGGATCTCTTGTCTCATTTGGATATAAACACTTTGATATCTTGAATGTTTCCAACTCAAACATGTGCCAAACTCAACCAATCACTCCCTTTCTCTCATGTAACCCTTTCCGCTACTGCCAATCCAAAAGAATACTAAATTCCAATAACTATACCTCTTAAATACCTCTCCAATCTATCTGTTTCTATTCCCATTCCTTATACAGGCCACCACCATTGCTTAACTGGACTGATGCTAGAACTTCTAAACTGGTCTCCCACCTGCTGTCTTGCTCTCCTCCAATCCACATTCTTCACTGCAACTGGAGTGATCGTTCTAAAATACAAACTTTATCACATTACTCTCCTCACGTTACTCAAACTTTATCACACATGAAACCTGCAAGTGACTTCCCACTGCCATCAGAATTAATTTCTAAACACCTTTACACAGTTTATAAAGTCCTTCAGGACTGTGCCCCTGCCTGCTGTGCCCCTACATTCAATGTTCAAGTTTTAAACGTTCATGAAGTTCCTAGAAGGTAGTATTCTTCTCTTACTCTAGGCACTGGCACAACATTCTTACCTGAAAGAATCTTTTTACCTCCTTCCTGCTCTAGCCAACTACCTTTTATTTTTCAGGTCTCAATTTAAATGCTATGGCTTCTGGGGAAACCTTTTCTGAATTGTTCAATCTGTGGTAAAGACCAGAGGCAGAGTTGGTATTTACCAAATAGTCAAATGTACCTCGTCTACATTGCCCAGGCTGGCTTCCAGTTTGGTTGGGGAAATAAAGCTGATTTACAAACCACTTACAAGACTGGCCCTTCAAAACATCCTGTGGGATTCTCAAACTCTCCCTTCCTCTTTCTTGGAGACCTAAGAAACCATATGCTTCTGCAAGATGGATAAGGGCCACCTAATACAAATTGGATATTATTTGAATGAAAAACAAATAACTTGTGTGATAAATTATGAAGGTTCTTACTAATAATATATGGCTTCAGCTTTCCACTCCCACAGGACTTCTTTATTACTTAGCACACTCGTTGCTACCTGTCTTCCCTAATAAGACTACAAGGATCTAGCAAGTGCTTGAAACATAGAAGGCGTTGAGAAACTATTCACTGTATGAATGAATGGATCAATATAACTTACCTTGTTTAGTACAATGCAGTAGTGCCACCACTTTGAATTTATAAGTAATACTGTACACCAAATAGTTTATCTTCTAGTATTTTTCTATAACTTTTCATCTTAGCTAAAAGTAGCTGTGTAAACTTTGTATCCTATTTTTTTCACTTAACATAAACATATACCTTTGCTGTTATAAATTTATCATAAATATCAGTTATAATAAGTATATAATATTCCTTTTTATAGAAATACTGTCATGTACCCAAATATTCCCTATTCTTGGACATTTAGGTAGTTTCCTGCAATCAATTTCAGATGCAAGATTGTTTCTATCCCTGTTCAACTTACATTTTGAATAACTTCCCCCATATTTCAAAGGTTTCATTTTCTTTTTTACCCTGGTTTCCTTGAAAGTTTGAATTTTGTCTTAATATTTTGTTATATCTCTATAATATGCCTCACTAGGTGCCTTGAATTGAATAAACATTGATAATATGTATTATATTTTTAATGAAGCTATCAATTTCAAAACAAAGGGTACTTCTGGGTGTTGTATTAAGAAGACATTGTTGAACAAAATATAAATCCAATGACAGTACAATTAAAAGAAACATAACAAAAATGGGGACATAGCACTGATTTTAATGATTCTTTCTCTCTCTTATTTTTTTCCCCATAATACTTCAAAGACAACTGAGGTTTTAATTCGCAGAACAATCAGAGCCAAGGAAAGCACAATGGCTTGGTGTCAGAACATCCAGGTTCAAGTGTTGGCCACTTCACTCAGTAGTTGTATGGCCTCAAGCATATCTCTGTATTTCTGTTATTTTCAAAATGAGAGATGTACATCACTTTCTATGGCAGGGTTTTTTAACCTCACATTGTTGACATTTTGGACTGGATAATTTTTTGTTATTGAGAGCTGTCCTGTGCACTATAAGATGTTTAGCAGCATCCATGACCTGTATCCACTAGATGCCAGTAGCAATACCCCAAGCACTCAGGTCTGGAGAGTCAAAATTTTTCCAAACATTGCCAAATGTGCCTGGAGGGACAAAATCACTCCCAGTTGAGAACTGCTGCTTTGCAGTAAGGAATAAGACTATTGTATGATTCTACAGCTTTGTCATTTTAGCAACTTATCTGCTAGCTTTTTCCAGAATGCTTAATAAATTTCCAGTTAAATGTTTATAGTCTGTGTCATTTCCTTTTTCTTCTGTGCTTTCTTATAATTTGCTTTGAAATGGTCAAAAGCATACCAGAAAAAGAAAGTGGAAAAATGTAAATATTACATTGATTATACAAGGACAACTGATTTGTCCTTAGAAAATTAAAAATTAATAATATCACTTTTAACTTTCAATAGCATTTCAATTACTTTTTCTATATTCTCTTTCAAGAGAAAATTGTACCTCAATTTCCCTTCCTTCTCCCCACATAAGATGGTTTAAGGTGGCTTTATAGCTCAGAGAACCCAATTAACATTTAACATTCCAAACACAGAACATCTCAAAATGCTTCTCGTTCATAGCATTTTTCTCAAGTCTGATGAAGGTAGCCAGAAAAGTTAAAAAAAAAAAACTAACTCAGAATAACTTAATTAATTTTAAAATAGGTATTATACATAAAGAT